>NC_000017.11:4885050-5036565 GCF_000001405.40 Homo sapiens
AGAGAATGAGGGGCCCCTTTTTCTCTCTGGTGGCTCAGGCCCAACTCCCTTCCTACTGGGGAGGCTCACTCCCTCCCCTTTCCCCTCTCCCCCTGGAATGCCCTGCCTCCTGCTGAAAATCCCTCAGGAAGCTCTTCACCTGTCACCTGTTACGGGCCAGGTGCTCTGCAGGTTGCTCTGGGGAGATGGGATCTGATGGCCCTCCTGCCTGGGATGCTGTCCGTGATCCTTTTACCTGGGTTTTTCTCTAAGATGCTGGAAGATGGAATCGGGTTCTTCAGGATGGTGGTGGGGTAAAGGAGGGTGCTGGGGTGTCTGGGTCGGGCCAGGACCACAGCTGGCTCAGGCAAGTCCTGTGTGTGCACGCAGGGATGTGAGGCAAGGGAGCAGAGGTGACTCCCCACACTGACCCCTCCCTCTGTGTCTTCACAGTGGATTTTGGGGTGAGTGCTCAGCTGGACCGCACCGTGGGCAGACGGAACACTTTCATTGGGACTCCCTACTGGATGGCTCCAGAGGTCATCGCCTGTGATGAGAACCCTGATGCCACCTATGATTACAGGGTATGGAGTGGAAAGTTGGGAGCATGGGGGCTGCCAAGGGCGGGAAGCAATATGGGGACCACGGGGCCTGAGCAGGCTGGGGAACAGAGGAAGGTCAGATGATGTTAGCAGTGAGGGGCTGGGGAACATCTTACGGCAAGGCAAGTGTGGGTGGGAAGATGGGATGGGTTGGAAGGCACTGCTGCAGGAATGGGTGTGGCCCAGGAAGGCTCCTGAGAGGCCAGGATGGTGGGTGAAGAGAGGTTGCAGGGCAGAGTTGTCAGGAATATTCACTTGTTCCTTCTTTCCCGTCTATAGAGTGATATTTGGTCTCTAGGAATCACAGCCATCGAGATGGCAGAGGGAGCCCCCCGTAAGTTCTGAGTCTGCCGGGAGTGGGAGGGGAGGGAAAGGAAGGGCCCAGAGAGTGGCTGTAGGGAGGAGGTGGGTCCTGGGACCCTGCCGAGGAAGGGTCCTGTAGCTCCCAGTGCAGTGAAAGGGACTGAGGGTGTCTCCTCTGTGTCCAGCTCTGTGTGACATGCACCCCATGCGAGCCCTCTTCCTCATTCCTCGGAACCCTCCGCCCAGGCTCAAGTCCAAGAAGTGGTAGGTCTCTGAGAGTGTGGGCTCTGGGAAGGAAGGTCCCTGGACAAGGCCATCCCCACCTTCATGCCCTCTGTGCTCAGGCTTGGATCTCACCAGAGAAGAGATTCTGGGGGGCAGAGGGCGGTGACTGGTGTTGGGATATGAAGACAGGAGGGACGTCAAGGTGGCTTGTGGATGAATGATCCACCCTCTTCCTCCTGCACCCATCCCTTCTGAGGGGACCCTCCCAGTGTGAGCCACCACTGTTTCCAGGTCTAAGAAGTTCATTGACTTCATTGACACATGTCTCATCAAGACTTACCTGAGCCGCCCACCCACGGAGCAGCTACTGAAGTTTCCCTTCATCCGGGACCAGCCCACGGAGCGGCAGGTCCGCATCCAGCTTAAGGACCACATTGACCGATCCCGGAAGAAGCGGGGTGAGAAAGGTCAGTGGGCAGGCTGGAGGGGGCAGGTACTAGGGGACACTCCAGCCTGGCTCCTCTCTGCCAGCCCTGCTCGCTCCTGGCACCCCTTCCTGCTCCCCTCCTTGGCCCCAGCTCTCCCTGTCCAAGGAGATCGTTCTCAAACTTGCAACCCCCAAGGGGTTTTCCCTCCTTTCCCTCCCAGTCTGAATCAGCCTTCCAAAGGAGGACCGGCCTTTCGCATCCTTACAAAAACTCCATGCTAAGCACATGTGTGTGCGAGCACAAGCACAGGCTCTGCCACACCTCAGCTGCCCTGGGACCCAGTCCCGGTCCTGTCCAGGCCCACACCTGAGACCCGCTGTCCTCCCATTGCCCCCAGGAAGTGGGTGGGGCCCCTCATGCTTGCCCAGCCAGAGAGACCTGGTTATCCCCACCCAAGGTTTCCCTAGCCCACGGCGGGTCTGGGGCGCTGGGTGAGATAACTGCAGTGGCCTCCCCCTGCAGAGGAGACAGAATATGAGTACAGCGGCAGCGAGGAGGAAGATGACAGCCATGGAGAGGAAGGAGAGCCAAGGTAGGCCTGGCAGGTGGAGTGGGGGTTGGGGCGGTCATCGCTGAGTGGGGGGACTACAGTGGTGCTTGGCTTTGGGGACTCTCAGCCTGGGGGTGGTGGGCACAGAGAGGTAGAGACTCCTGGAAACCAAATTTCTGAGTGCTAAGAAGTGGAACCAATGACTGAGCAAGAGCTGGGGAGAGAGCAATTTGTGGTGAATGTGGGGCGCAGCAGTAATAGGAAAGGAGGACAGGACTGAAGACTGGGCAGAAGGGGACGGTAAGTCTCCTGGCCACCTGGGAGTGGCCAGAGGCAGAGGCTTTGATCCAGTTAAAGCACCCACTCAGGCGGGCCCACGGGGTTGAGAGTGGGAACCAACAGGGTTCTGACCCCAGTGCTTCTTTGTGCCACCCCTGCCCAGCTCCATCATGAACGTGCCTGGAGAGTCGACTCTACGCCGGGAGTTTCTCCGGCTCCAGCAGGAAAATAAGAGCAACTCAGAGGCTTTAAAACAGCAGCAGCAGCTGCAGCAGCAGCAGCAGCGAGACCCCGAGGCACACATCAAACACCTGCTGCACCAGCGGCAGCGGCGCATAGAGGAGCAGAAGGAGGAGCGGCGCCGCGTGGAGGAGGTGGGCTGTCTCCGAAGGGCCCAGGCCTGGCGCGGCCTCCTCCTGACCTGCCCCGGGTCCATTAGGGCCTTGGAGAACAGGTTTTAAAATGCCTTAAATGAATGGCATTTCTGTTGAAACAATTATATGATTTCAAATTTCATGATGAGCTGGACTTAACACAAAATGTAATCCCATCACTTTGGGAGGCTGAGGTGGGTAGATCACCTGAGGTCAGGAGTTTGAGACCAGCCTGGCCAACATGGTGAAACCCCATCTCTACTAATAATACAAAAATTAGCCAGGTGTGGTGGCGCATGCCTGTAATCCCAGCTACTCCGGAGGCTGAGGCAGGAGAATTGCTTGAACCCGGGAGGCGGAGGTTGCAGTGAGCAGAGATCACACCACTGCACTCCAGCCTGGGTGACAGAGCAAGACTCCGTCTCTAATAATAATAAGCAATAACCCGCAGCACCCACACTGTCCACCTGCTACCTCCAAAGTAGGCCCTCTCATTGTTGAACAAAAAATAATTTGCAAGAAAACCTGCTACAGAAGAGCCTTGTGCAGTTTTGAAAATATAGGCCAGGTGAGGTGGCTCACGCCTGTAATCCCAGCACTTTGGGAGTCGGAGGATGGGGGCGGATCGTGAGATCAGGAGTTCGAGACCAGCCTGTCTAATATGGTGAAACCCCATCTCTACTAAAAATACACAAATTAGCCAGGCGTGGTGGTGCACGCGCCTATAGTTCCAGCTACTTAGGAGGCTGAGGCAGGAGAATCGCTTGAACCTGGGAGGTGGAAGTTGTAGTGAGCTGAGATCACGCCACTGGCCTGGGGAACAGAGCAAGACTCCGTCTCCAAAAAATAAAAAAATAAAATAAATATAGCGTTCAGATAGTATAGTAACAAAGTCCTATCTTTTTTTTTTTTTTTTTTTTGAGATGGAGTTTTGCTCTTGTTGCCCAGGGTGACGAGTGCAGTGGCGCACTCTAGGCTCACCGCAAAACCTCCGTCTCCCAGGTTCAAGTGATTCTCCTGCCTCAGCCTCCTGAGGAGCTGGGATTACAGGAATGCGCCACCACGCCCGGCTAATTTTGTATTTTTTTCAGTAGAGACAGGGTTTCTGCATGTTGGTCAGGCTGGTCTCGAACTCCCGACCTCAGGTGATCCACCTGCCTCGGCCTCCCAAAGTGCTGGGATTACAGGTGTGAGCCACCGCGCCCAGCCACAGAGTCCTATCTAACAAGGTGTTACCTGGAGAAGGCCTGCTGGCAACTTCATTGCAGAAGTAGGCACAAGTTCCCTCAAGTGTAAGGGTCCCTCAGGGTTTGTGCTTTTGTTGGTGGTGGTGGTGGTAGACTTCGTGAAAGCCACCACAGAAATACCGTGAAAGTAAAGTACCACCTGGGCACTGGTGCTTGTCAAGGAGTGGGCCAGGTCCCTCTTTTCTGTGCTTTCTGTGCACGGGCACCTGGTGCCCTCTTGTGGCCAAAGGCTATCACTACGACCCGCTCTATATGGACTTCAGGCAAAGGTCGATTTTAGGCTAGGAGTGCTGGGGAGGCTTGTTTTGAGTTCGGCTTTGGTTTGTTGTTTGGTGGGGTGTGGGGAGTGGAAGGTGTTGTCTAGCTAAGCCCACCCCACAGGCAGCAGTCAGTCTCACAGCCTCTCTCGTCACAGCTACCGGCTGTTTACCCGAGCCCAGCCCCGCGGGCCCTTGGGTGGGGATGGGTATAGTTGCAGAAACAAGCGGAAGCCGGTCTCTCTTACCACCCTCCGTGGTGAGCAAGGAGGGCTCCCCTCCCTGTCCATGGAGGGGCAGTGCTGACGCGATGTCCGGTATGGTTCTTAAGACCACCTGGCTCTCCCCACAGCAACAGCGGCGGGAGCGGGAGCAGCGGAAGCTGCAGGAGAAGGAGCAGCAGCGGCGGCTGGAGGACATGCAGGCTCTGCGGCGGGAGGAGGAGCGGCGGCAGGCGGAGCGCGAGCAGGTAGAGCGCCGCACCCGCATCCCTGCCCTCCCGCCCTCCCGCTCCTGCTGCCTGCCGCCCCTGCTCCCCGTGCCCTTCCCCCTTCTCTCCCCCACCCCCAGATTCCTCCTATCTTTTCTAGCTTCACTCTTTCTCTCTGTTTTCTCCCACCCTTCAACCCCAACCCTGACCCCCTCCCTCTTCCTTCCCTGCCTCATTCCCATCTCTTTACCCCATCCCTGACTCCCCGACCCCTTCCTCATCCCCCCTCATTCCCTGTGCCCTCTTCTTCCCCATCTGTGCCGCATGGCCCCCTGGGGCTCATGTCATCCCCTCCCCTACCTCTCTCTTACTCTTCCCCTGCACCCCCTCATTCTCCTGCGGATCCCTTCCTCCTTCTCCAACTCGCTGCTGCTGCCCTCCTCTGCCTCTTCCTCCTTCCCTGCCCTCTGCCCCCCACCCCACACCCCGTCCCCCAGGAATATATTCGTCACAGGCTAGAGGAGGAGCAGCGACAGCTCGAGATCCTTCAGCAACAGCTGCTCCAGGAACAGGCCCTGCTGCTGGTAACGGGTCCCTCAGCGTCCTCTGGGAAGATGCTTTTCAGAGCTTCTTTGCTGGAACGGGATGGGAACACTTCAAGGGAAGGGATTCACCCAGGACATCAAGGGAATACATCTCCTCTCTAGGCAGTTGGAGAAAAGAGAGGGCATGCCTGCTCTAACTCCCAGGGCCACACCCTGCTGAGCCCTCTCTCCCTACCCTTGGGCCCAGGAATACAAGCGGAAGCAGCTGGAGGAGCAGCGGCAGTCAGAACGTCTCCAGAGGCAGCTGCAGCAGGAGCATGCCTACCTCAAGTCCCTGCAGCAGCAGCAACAGCAGCAGCAGCTTCAGAAACAGCAGCAGCAGCAGCTCCTGCCTGGGGACAGGAAGCCCCTGTACCATTATGGTCGGGGCATGAATCCCGCTGACAAACCAGCCTGGGCCCGAGAGGTACTCACTGCCTCCTTTGCCTCCTGAGACTGCAGTCCCACTGCCTGAGGCCTGGAGAGCCACAAGAAGTAGTAGTTCACAGTAGCAGGCACCAAGTAGGGGAAAGGAGCACACAGCACAGAGCATAGGGCGGGAGTAGTTAGGGCAGGTGGGACCCTCAGTTTTGAGAACAGGGAGGCAAGAGCTGGCCTGCTTGACATCCCTTCACATCACAGGTAGAAGAGAGAACAAGGATGAACAAGCAGCAGAACTCTCCCTTGGCCAAGAGCAAGCCAGGCAGCACGGGGCCTGAGCCCCCCATCCCCCAGGCCTCCCCAGGGCCCCCAGGACCCCTTTCCCAGACTCCTCCTATGCAGAGGCCGGTGGAGCCCCAGGAGGGACCGCACAAGGTGAGTCTCTCCCCACCCCTGTCTTAATGAAGACACAGGGAGCTTTGTTCAGAGCACAGGTACACACACACGCGCGCACACACACACACACACACACACACCTGCTCAGCCGTGAGCCAGGATTACAGAGCACAGGCTTTGTGGACAGACTCACTCACCTGCTTCTTGCTGCCTGTGTCTGTCCTGACTTAGCTGTCATCAGGCTCAAGGAACCCCTTGTCCTTCAATGGAGGAAGGGGCAGCTAAAGTCCTTTCCCACCCCAGACCCCAATTCGCAGGTGGGGATGTGCCATGGAGCAGGCAGCCCACCCTCCCTGGTCTCTCCCTGCAGAGCCTGGTGGCACACCGGGTCCCACTGAAGCCATATGCAGCACCTGTACCCCGATCCCAGTCCCTGCAGGACCAGCCCACCCGAAACCTGGCTGCCTTCCCAGCCTCCCATGACCCCGACCCTGCCATCCCCGCACCCACTGCCACGCCCAGTGCCCGAGGAGCTGTCATCCGCCAGAATTCAGACCCCACCTCTGAAGGACCTGGCCCCAGCCCGAATCCCCCAGCCTGGGTCCGCCCAGATAACGAGGCCCCACCCAAGGTAAGGACAGTTCTGCAGGCCCAGGGAAAAGCAGAGAGCTAGTCATGAAGAGAAGGAGGGCAGTGAAGGGGCAGGCCACATGGAGGAAGAGTGCAGGGCGGGAAGCGAGAGAAAGCCAGGGCGCTGCCCTGCCGGGGTCAGCCGTCCAGCTGAGGACGCGACGTGGAGGGGTGGCATCGATCCCTGTGGGGAGCGTGGGAACGGAGAAACGCCCAGGGTGTTTTGGGAGCGCTAAGGGGCAGACTTTGCCAGTTAGAACCGCAGCTCCACCATCATCCGGCTTCATAACCCTGGACGTATTCACTAACTCCCCTGAACCTCAGTTTTCTCATCCATCAAAGTGGGGGAGCTCACCTCTCAGAGGTGAGGCTTAAACATCTGAGAAGTGCCTGTCGCAGCGCCAGCTCGCAGCACGTGGACTTCTCTCCACAGGTGCCTCAGAGGACCTCATCTATCGCCACTGCCCTTAACACCAGTGGGGCCGGAGGGTCCCGGCCAGCCCAGGCAGTCCGTGCCAGGTAATGCCTGGGTAGGGCAACGCCTGGGTGAGGTCTGAGGGCAGCCTAGGGAGTAGGGGGGGCACAGGGACTTTACCAGCCTACCCGCCTGGGGGTGGGAAAGCCCCAGCCCCATCACCTCAGCGCCCCCCCGCCGCCCCCTCGGCACCCCTGTGCTCCCTTCACAGACCTCGCAGCAACTCCGCCTGGCAAATCTATCTGCAAAGGCGGGCAGAGCGGGGCACCCCAAAGCCTCCAGGGCCCCCTGCTCAGCCCCCTGGCCCGCCCAACGCCTCTAGGTAATAGAGTTGTCCCCCAACTCACTCTCACCTCTCACTTCTGCCACCCGCTTCCCTGGTGATGGCTCCCTCTGCAGTGCAGCTCAGCACCCCAGAGAAGGGAGCACCGTGCCTCCCTGACCCTGACTCTGCCCCCCCAACAGTAACCCCGACCTCAGGAGGAGCGACCCTGGCTGGGAACGCTCGGACAGCGTCCTTCCAGCCTCTCACGGGCACCTCCCCCAGGCTGGCTCACTGGAGCGGAACCGCGTGGGAGGTATGTGAGCCAGGGCTGGGCAGCCTGCTCTGGGCCTGGGGGCTTATCACCATGGACCCTGCCTTTGGTGGCTTTGGACTGGGGCACCCACACGGACAGGGAGGACCTGTGTGGGTATGGAACTTGGGGCTGAGTTCTGGGGCTCAGGGTGTGGGCTTGAGGCCATCCCTTGTTCAGGCATCAGTGACCTTCTTCCACCCTGCCGTCCAGTCTCCTCCAAACCGGACAGCTCCCCTGTGCTCTCCCCTGGGAATAAAGCCAAGCCCGACGACCACCGCTCACGGCCAGGCCGGCCCGCAGTGAGTCACCTGGTGGCAGGCATGGCCTGCCTCATCCTGGTTTGGGGCTTAGCCTCAGGGTGCTGGGTGTCAGGGGTGGGGTCTCCGCTGATCTACCGAGAAGGGCTGTGGGGATGGAGGGACTGGTGCTTCTCATGGTGCTAACCTTTCCTAACCTCTCTCCTAACCTCTCTCCTAACCTCTCTTCTGGCTCTTTCTTCCCCTGCGGCCCCTCCCAGAGCTATAAGCGAGCAATTGGTGAGGTTAGTGAGATGGGCCTGCTTGTGGGAGCCCCTCCTGTCGCCCTGCTGGGGTGTCCCGGCACCCTTTGTCTACCTCCACCCAGGCCCAGCTTCTCCCTGCCCCTCACGTGGCTCCTCCCTGCAGGACTTTGTGTTGCTGAAAGAGCGGACTCTGGACGAGGCCCCTCGGCCTCCCAAGAAGGCCATGGACTACTCGTCGTCCAGCGAGGAGGTGGAAAGCAGTGAGGACGACGAGGAGGAAGGCGAAGGCGGGCCAGCAGAGGGGAGCAGAGATACCCCTGGGGGCCGGTACGGCATCGGGAGTGGGGCCCTCCCACTCCAAGGCACAGGGAGGGAGGGGAAGTGGCAGTGGGGAAGAGGTGGGGCTTTGGGGCAAGTCTGAGGGAGAGCGGCTCCCTTCTCTAGAGAGTGGGGTGAGGGTGCAGGTTCCTGTCTCTCTCCCGCTGCCCTGTGTGTTGTGGGGTGGCCTCTTCAAGTGCCTGTCTGCCCCTGTGCCAGCCTGCCCTGTGTGCCATGCAGGGAAGCACCTCACGGTGGAGCAGGGGCTACACCGTGAGGGTGGAGCAGGTTGTGTTTTGAATAGAGACAAAAGCCTGGGCTCTGGCTGCCATCTGCTGCCTTTGGCACTTCTGTGGCCACGGGCAGGACCTGGAGGGGCCCCACCTTCCTCTCTCACAGCAGCGATGGGGATACAGACAGCGTCAGCACCATGGTGGTCCACGACGTCGAGGAGATCACCGGGACCCAGCCCCCATACGGGGGCGGCACCATGGTGGTCCAGCGCGTGAGTGAGCCTCTGCTCCCTCCCCTGTACCTGTGTGTGCCCTCCTCAGCCCCACGCCAACCCTGCCCTCTGTCCTGTAGACCCCTGAAGAGGAGCGGAACCTGCTGCATGCTGACAGCAATGGGTACACAAACCTGCCTGACGTGGTCCAGCCCAGCCACTCACCCACCGAGAACAGCAAAGGCCAAAGCCCACCCTCGAAGGATGGGAGTGGTGACGTAAGTGGGCCGGAGGCAGGTCCGCCGGGAGAGAAGAGCCCTGGCGATGGGCAGGAGGTCCCGGTGCTGGGTAACGGCAGAGGATGGGGCGGAGCGCTGGGAGCTGGACAGCGGGGGTGCCAGTTGGGGAGCTGGAGCCTGGGGAACAGCAGCAGGGGCAGGGCCGCAGCTGGACTTGCACTTGTTTGCCTGACTGCTGTCCCCCTACCACAGTACCAGTCTCGTGGGCTGGTAAAGGCCCCTGGCAAGAGCTCGTTCACGATGTTTGTGGATCTAGGGATCTACCAGCCTGGAGGCAGTGGGGACAGCATCCCCATCACAGGTGAGGACAGGAGGACAGACCTGCTGTGAGGCCAGGGTCCAGGGGCAGCCTGGAGGGGAGCACAGTGGTCTTGAGACGCAGCCTCACAAAGCATAGCCACAGGACCTCTCCCTTGGGCCCTAGCACCTGCCTGGGCACAGAGGCAAGGAAGAGCCTCTGAGACCCCTCCTTCCTGTCCCACAGGACAGGAAATGCTCAGAGTTGCCAGGGGACCTGGGCAAAGACTCAAAGCTAACAAGTGACAGAAATGGGACTTGAGCCAGACCTTTTGACTCCAAGTCCAGCACTCTATCCCCCTCTCCCATGCACCTCCTCTCCTCCTGTCTTTCTCCTCCTTTCTGCGTATTATGAGGTGCCAAGACCTGATATAGGGGATGGAGGTAAAAAGAGATGGGGTGAGAAGCTGCAGCCCCTCCTCCCACCTCCTCCTCCTTCTGGCAGCCCTAGTGGGTGGAGAGGGCACTCGGCTCGACCAGCTGCAGTACGACGTGAGGAAGGGTTCTGTGGTCAACGTGAATCCCACCAACACCCGGGCCCACAGTGAGACCCCTGAGATCCGGAAGTACAAGAAGCGATTCAACTCCGAGATCCTCTGTGCAGCCCTTTGGGGTAAGCCAGGGCAGGGACAGCTGAGGAGGCTCTGGCGTGGCTCTTGTGCTCCTGGTTAGGTGAGGGCCTGGCTGAGCCTCTGACCTGCCCAAGGGCTCCTGTTGCAGGGGTCAACCTGCTGGTGGGCACGGAGAACGGGCTGATGTTGCTGGACCGAAGTGGGCAGGGCAAGGTGTATGGACTCATTGGGCGGCGACGCTTCCAGCAGATGGATGTGCTGGAGGGGCTCAACCTGCTCATCACCATCTCAGGTACAGGTGTGGTGAGTGGGGGAGGGAGGAGGGGCTCAGCTCCTTGGCGCTGTCACCATCTTCTGCCTGGGAGGAGGGCAGGCACTGGAAGGTGGGGCCACACTTTCTCACCCCTTGTGGTATGCTGACAGAGGAGGCCAGGGCGGTGGCATTCGGGCCTCAGATGAGAATGGGGGCGGGTGTGTATGTCTGTCCGTCCCTCAGGGAAAAGGAACAAACTGCGGGTGTATTACCTGTCCTGGCTCCGGAACAAGATTCTGCACAATGACCCAGAAGTGGAGAAGAAGCAGGGCTGGACCACCGTGGGGGACATGGAGGGCTGCGGGCACTACCGTGTTGGTGAGGATGTCCCAACAGAGTGGCCAGCGCATACTTGTTCATGAAGAGAGAAATGGATCTGGGAGCCAGGGACTTGGGGCCTGGGTGGGGCAGTGTAGTGACAGACCACGGGGAGGCGCCCGTGGCGCAAGAAGGGAAGTCTCAGCATCCCTCTTCTCTCCCGCCCCCAGTGAAATACGAGCGGATTAAGTTCCTGGTCATCGCCCTCAAGAGCTCCGTGGAGGTGTATGCCTGGGCCCCCAAACCCTACCACAAATTCATGGCCTTCAAGGTAATCCCAGCCTCGGTCCCTAACACCATCTGGAGTCCCAGCGCCTCTCCCCGTGCCCCTGAGCCCTCCTCTCCTCCGGTTCTCTGCAGTCCTTTGCCGACCTCCCCCACCGCCCTCTGCTGGTCGACCTGACAGTAGAGGAGGGGCAGCGGCTCAAGGTCATCTATGGCTCCAGTGCTGGCTTCCATGCTGTGGATGTCGACTCGGGGAACAGCTATGACATCTACATCCCTGTGCACGTGAGCTTGGCGGGGCTGCTGGGGGAGTGGGATGGCCCAGTCTGGGCACCAGACACGGAGACTCTAGTCCCCCTCCTTCTCCCCAGATCCAGAGCCAGATCACGCCCCATGCCATCATCTTCCTCCCCAACACCGACGGCATGGAGATGCTGCTGTGCTACGAGGACGAGGGTGTCTACGTCAACACGTACGGGCGCATCATTAAGGATGTGGTGCTGCAGTGGGGGGAGATGCCTACTTCTGTGGGTGAGTGAGCTGCCGCCCTCCCAGCCACATGCCCCGAGGTGGCCCCGGGGTGCAGCCTGCTCAGCCCCTCACCTGTTCCCCACAGCCTACATCTGCTCCAACCAGATAATGGGCTGGGGTGAGAAAGCCATTGAGATCCGCTCTGTGGAGACGGGCCACCTCGACGGGGTCTTCATGCACAAACGAGCTCAGAGGCTCAAGTTCCTGTGTGAGCGGAATGACAAGGTGGGAGGCTCCTTCCCTCTGAAAGCCCTGCTGTCCCGGCTGCCATGACCCTAGGCCCCTGGGCAGAGTTCTGGGGAGAGGATGGTGGTGGTGGCTTCCTGAAAGCGGGCCCCTCTGGGAGCTCAGAGGGCAGTCAGCCACTACCACTGCCCTGCGCTCCCTTCAGATTCCGAGGACTTCCCAGCTGGCCCCCAGGGGGCGAGTGGTGCACCCTCTCCCCTAACATCCCAGCCTGCCTTTCCTCCGGGTGAGGGGCACTGTGAGTCTCCTCCTGCAGTCTCTGTGTCTCCCTCAACTCTTCTGCCACCCCTTCTTCCCTTCTTTCCCTCTCCCAGTTGAGACACCCCCCCAACCTCAGCCCTTGGTGACTTCTTCTCCTGCCCCACCCAGGTGTTTTTTGCCTCAGTCCGCTCTGGGGGCAGCAGCCAAGTTTACTTCATGACTCTGAACCGTAACTGCATCATGAACTGGTGACGGGGCCCTGGGCTGGGGCTGTCCCACACTGGACCCAGCTCTCCCCCTGCAGCCAGGCTTCCCGGGCCGCCCCTCTTTCCCCTCCCTGGGCTTTTGCTTTTACTGGTTTGATTTCACTGGAGCCTGCTGGGAACGTGACCTCTGACCCCTGATGCTTTCGTGATCACGTGACCATCCTCTTCCCCAACATGTCCTCTTCCCAAAACTGTGCCTGTCCCCAGCTTCTGGGGAGGGACACAGCTTCCCCTTCCCAGGAATTGAGTGGGCCTAGCCCCTCCCCCCTTTTCTCCATTTGAGAGGAGAGTGCTTGGGGCTTGAACCCCTTACCCCACTGCTGCTGACTGGGCAGGGCCCTGGACCCCTTTATTTGCACGTCAGGGGAGCCGGCTCCCCCCTTGAATGTACCAGACCCTGGGGGGGGTCACTGGGCCCTAGATTTTTGGGGGGTCACCAGCCACTCCAGGGGCAGGGACCATTTCTTCATTTTCTGAAAGCACTTTAATGATTCCCCTTCCCCCAAACTCCAGGGAATGGAGGGGGGACCCCGCCAGCCAAAACATTCCCCCCATTCCCGACCCCCCTCTCCTCTTCTAGCCCATGCCCTTCCCCGGTGGAGGGAGGGAGCAGGGAGCCCTCACTCTCCACGCCCCTTGCTTGCATCTGTATATAGTGTGAGCAGCAAGTAACCCTTCTCCCTCCCCCCCCACCCCTCCTCAATGTAGTGGCCTTGGATATCCTGTTTGTTAATAAAGACAATTCAACCAGCTCCCACCATGCAGGCCGCATGTCCTTGCTTTCTGTCAGTACTGTAGACTAGGCAGAGAGAGCCTCCAGGGTGGGGAAGAAAGGGGCAGGGTGGGCTGGGATCTGCAATGAGTGAGCCTCATGGGGTGGGATGGGCAGTGCTGGGCCAAGAAAACCTAGAAGAAATGACTGTGGAAGGGTCAGGGCAGCCTCAGCCTTAAACCTGTGGGCCTGAGGGCCACCAGCACTGAAGGTGTTTGGTTCCCACCCGCTCCAGCAGAGCCAGACCAGGGAAGAAGAGGGTTTCCTGGCTACAGCCTCCCTGTGTGCAAGTCCTGCAAAGGGGTCTCCTGTTTGGCTATGAAATGAATATAGATAGATAGCTCACAAGCTGGCAGCCACCAGAGTCCCGTGGGGCTGAGCCTTAGAAAGGCTGGGAGGTCAGCAAGGCTGAATGAAGGGCAGTCCTTGCTTTCTGGAAGACTGGCACCTGAGAGCCTATGTGAACCCTTTCCTCCTGCTGACCCCTGGACTGCGGCCAGGCCTACACACGCCAGGGAACGGGCACACACCATTCTTGTGAAGTTCACAAACTGCAGATTGATCAGCAGGGGGAAGGGATCATAATGCCGTGGTGGCGGCAGCCTACTTTTTCAAAATCAATTTCCTACTGGAGATGGGTGGGAAATTGAAGTCGGTGCGAGCTAAGGCTGGATACACGGCGCGTAGGGGAGATCAGGCACTCGGTTGAAGTAGGCCCCGAGGAAGATGAGGCTGGAGCCCACGCTGAAGAGCACCAGAGCGGCCCAGAAGCAGATGTTGTCAAGGGCATTCCCCATGCGCACCCAGTCGGACACTTCCTGGGGAAGGGTCGGCACAGTCAGTAAAGAGGCAGCTGCAGGAGCCAGCGGCATGGGAGACAGTGGTGGGCCTCTGCCTCGCTCCACCCGCCTCTGGCTCCTGTCCCACCTCGCCGGTGGCCTCCTGATCTCTCGTGCTCTCGGCCACGAAGTTCACGGCATCCACACAGCAGCGGACCTCGGGGGCGGCGGCGCCCAGGCTCTGGCAGAAGGCAGCTGGCGGGGAAAACACCGGGGTGGGCCTTAGGAGCCTCCCCCCTGGCAGGCACCCCGCGCGGCCCCCCGGGCCAGGGCCACTGTGCTCACCCGTCCAGGTCCCCTGCCGGTGCCTCTGCCCCTCAAACACGAGCTCGCTCCGTGGCTTTTTCAGTATCAGCTCCTCCGCGCGGAGCAATAAGCCCACCGACGACGCCCGCCTTGGGGGCGAGGCGGCCCGGGGGGCCTCGGGCGGCGGCGGGGAGCCCAGGAGGCGCGGCAGCAGCTCCAGGAGAACCTGGGGCAGGGGCGGGGCTTAGGGGACGAGGTTAGTACGAAGCCCCACCCCGACCCGGGCTGCACCGCCCCCTCCGCGCTTACGTGGCGCAGCCGCGGGGACATGGCGTGGGTGGTGGGCGTCCGCTGGGACACGTTGAGCACGATGACGCAATTCATGACAATGAGCGTGGCGACCACCATGACGAAAATAAGGAACCTGAGGAGCCCGGAAGGCATGACATCACCGTTCCTCCTCCCAGCTACCGAAGGCGCCGCGCGCTGACCTCACAAACACGGCTTCTCCTGGTACGGGCTGGTTACGCCCTCCAGCTGCGCCCCCTACACGACGACAGACGCGTCCCCCAGCCCTTCTCCTGTCCTACCACTTGTGGCGGCCATGAAGGGGACCCCCAGCTCCCTGGACACCCTGATGTGGATCTACCACTTCCACAGCTCCACCGAGGTGAGGCTACGCCCGCCAAGGGCTGCACCTCGAGACCTTCTGGGTAGGTCTCCTGTTCGCCCCTGTGACCCCTGCCCTGCTACTCTACTGCTCTGCTCCTTCTCCAGGTGGCCCTCCAGCCCCCGCTTCTGTCTTCCCTGGAACTCTCCGTGGCCGCAGCCCATGAATATCTGGAGCAGAGGTTCAGAGAGCTGAAGTCCCTGGAGCCACCCGAACCGAAGATGCAGGGGATGCTGCCTGCCCCGAAGCCCACCCTGGGGCTGGTGTTGAGAGAAGCCACAGCCAGCCTCGTGAGCTTCGGCACCACCTTGTTAGAGGTGGGGTACTGGGGGGCTTAGGATACGCGGCGATCGGGTAGCGGGAACAAGGACCTCTGCCTCCCCGCTAACCCCTGTGCCCCCAATGCAGATCTCAGCCCTGTGGCTGCAGCAGGAGGCGCGGCGACTAGACGGCAGCGCGGGCCCAGCCCCAGACGGCAGGGATCCGGGTGCAGCGCTGAGCCGGGTAGCCCAAGCCGCAGGGCAGGGGGTTCGGCAAGCTGGGGCTGCGGTGGGCGCCAGCGCCCGGCTCCTAGTCCAGGGAGCATGGCTATGCCTGTGTGGACGGGGTCTGCAGGGGTCTGCCTCATTCCTGCGACAGTCGCAACAGCAGCTAGGCCTCGGAATCCCCGGAGAACCGGTGAGCTCAGGACACGGGGTGAGTTAGGGGCCAGAGGCGGCGGGGCTAGGGAGGCACTGAGCCGGACTGTCCCCCAAGAGAGCTACTCGGGAGACCTCCAGGTGACGTCCAGCAGCAGTGAGGAGGACGGCGGACCAGGGACTCCATCCCCGTACCAGCCCCACCCAGCGTCCGAATAAAGCCCAGGGCGGGGCGAGACAGCCAGAGCTTTTCCCGGGGTCTCTGGGTTTTGGCCACGCCCCCACCCTTCACACTGGCCACACCCCCGCGGGGGCTCCGGCTTCACCTGCCCAGGAGCGGCACGCTCAGAGAAGTCTCTGGGATTTTCTGGGCAATGAGGAACAAGAAGACGGTCTGGGCGAGCAGGACGTTGATGGAGACCGTGCATTTCTGGCCGCCGGCTGGAGGGAGAGCCAGTGAGAGCGGGCCCCGCCTCCCGGGAGCGAGCCCGGGTTTGGGGGTAGGTTCGGGGCCACTGCTTACCCTGCGCCGGCAGGAAGTAGGCGAGCAGCACCAGGCCCGAGATGAGCACACAGGGCACGATGATGTTAATGACGTAGAAGAGCGGCTTCCGGCGGATGATGAGCGAGTAGATGACGTCAGTCTCCCCTGGGCCGTCGGTGGCGCCACCGTGGTGGCGGCGGATCACCCCCGGGCAGAAGTCGATGGCCCACTCGCCGTTCTCTGCGGGACGGGGGCACGGTCAGCTGGCTGTCAGAGCGGGGCGCCCGCCGAGCTGACAGCGGGCTGAAGAGGAGGCTGCGGCTGTCTGCACCAGGGTCATGGGCCGTCAGGATGGGGGCAATTACGGACAGAAAAGGGCATTCTCGTTGAGGGTATGGAAAGCCAGAAGGCAGGACTAGAGTAACAATCGAGAATGATTTCAGGACAGGGGTAAGCTAAACCCAGTTGTGGAAGTCATCCTCCAGTGTCGTTGGTCCGGGGCAAGCCCACCGTGGAAGTCCCCTCTCTGGACCCCGTCTAGAAGCGGGTTTTTCTGAGCAGGCAGGGGCTTCACCAGTATAGGCCTCTGTGTCGATGTCGATCTTGTTGATGGTCTTGCCGTCGTTGTCTACGGCAAAAGTGAACTCCACCTCTTCGGCATTGTACGTCTGAGAGCTGCGGAGCCAGGGCCGGGAGCCCACCCCAGAAGCTCTGACCTGGGCCCCGGCCTCAGGCCCAGCCCTGGAAGCTGGGATCTAGCGGGGCCGCGATCCCAAGCCCACCCCTTCACCCAAGCCCAGCCCGCACGCCTCTGTTCCCATCTGTACCTCCGGCCGCGCTGGAGCGTCCCACCCAGTGCCTACGCCTGGCTCCGCCTCCAGCGCGAAGCCCCGCCCCGAGGGCGGTGCTTCCCGGTTGGCCCCGCCCCATAAGGCCCCCCCCCAACAATAATCGTCCGGGCCTCGGAGTAGCTCTTCCCACCGGAAAATAAGCGAACAGTTCTGCCAATCGAAGGGGAAGTAGGTGACCTCCACTGCGCAGACGCTGCGGTAGATGGCCGGAGGCAGCCACGTCACGGAGCCGCCCTCGTAGACGAGCACGTTGGCGTCGTAGGCCACTCCGAACTGGCCATCAATACTGTGGGCTCGGGGAAACCGAGCTTTTTGCACAGGTCTGCACCCTCTCAGAGTACCCCCTTCCCCAACCAAGTCCAGCCCGCACCCCAGGCCGGCTTCCCTCCAGCCTGGCGTCTGGCCCGGTTCTCACTTGTTTTCCAGCACAATCTCTGGCAGCCACACGAGTTCTGAAGGGACTCGCAGGGTTTCTATACCCCCAAAGTCGTCCTTGCTGTAGTTGAGTCGGTAATCCTGCCAATCCTAAGGGGTGGGGGATGGAAGGCCGCGTGCCCTGCATCTCCCACCTGGCGCTGCCTGGGAGGGGTTTGGGGGAAAAGGGGTGCCCTGGACAAGACCTCACACCATTCCCCAGATTTGACTCACGATTCCAATCCAGACGCTAGTGGTGAGAGTCTCCTCTTTTTCATTCTGCAGATGGGAGATGGGGATGATTGAAGTGAGATTTCAGGGCCAGAAGTGAGCTTTAGGACAGAGCTCAGCGGTTGGGGCCAGAAGTGGGATTTTTGGCTTAAGATGAGGGTGGGGGTAGCTTACCAGTGAGATGAGATTCGTCAGGGTGACCTTGAGGCTGATGGTGACAGTATCCTCAGGCTCCCGCACTGGCCGGCTTCCTGGGTCATAGTTGTTGAAGAGATGGTGATAAAGACGCAGTTCCTCGTTCTTCCCCACACCCCTGCCTGCGATGGGGTCAAGAAGGAAGGGTCATTGGCAATGAAGAGGCTGGAGCACCTCTCTCCCCTCTGCCTCCCCTGGGTCCTCACAGGCCTCTGAGGCTGTGTACTATCAGTATCTGTCTCCTAAACCAATTATGCTGTGCCTGGGAACGAAATACTGTGTCTAAGTCTCCATCTTGGTCTCTGTCTTTGTCTTCCCAGTCCCTTCATGTCAGTATCTGTGTGTGTCCAATTGCCCCTCTAGCCCCTGTCCGTACCGAGAAGCCCCAAGAGGAGCAGGACCCCAAGCGGAGCCCTTGCCATCCTGCTGCGTGGTTCTCAGGGTTATTCTGAGCTCTGGCAGGCTTGGAGGGGGCATGCCAGGGTGCCTGTGTGAGGGGGAGGAGGGTGTTAGTTCCGGGCTGTTAGGGGACTGTCACCTAATCCTCTGCTCACCCCTGCTGCAGCTGGGGACATTTTGGCTGCTTCCAGAGGCAGCTGCCCCATCCTGTGTTTCCTGCCCCTGCCCCGCCCCAGCCCAGCGTCCTTTGCCTGGTATTTGGCCAACTCCCCAGCCACAGATGTGGGCGTCTCCTGAGAGGCACCTGCAACCACAATTCTAGTAGCAGGGGGTGGGAGACACTGCTTTCAGCAGGCACTGTTGTCCTTTGAGTAAGCTGCCCTGTGTAGGTGACCCTGACTGATGAACACATCTGGGGATGTGACACACCCCTTGCCTCCCATTCTCACCCATGTGGAACACACACTATCACCACCCAAGCTCACAATGCCTTTCTTGCCGACAGAGTGGCAAAAAACAGTCTCCATAAAGACCTGATAAAGAGACAGGTGGTCACAGGGGATTAGCCCTGCGGTACAGAGATTCCATCTAGCAAAGGAGATCATGTAAAGGACCCACCTCCTTCCACAACCTGATCGCCAGGTTTGCCCATGCCCAGCCCCTCTGGGTGGGAGACTTGTTTCTCCTTGTCTATCCCTGCTGCCACCTTGTGGTCACAGATGATAGTACCGTCTTCCCATCCTACTCTCCTAAACACACACGTGCACACATACACACACACCTGATGACACCTTAATAGATCCTTTTGATGTTCCTTTTTAAAAAAAATTTTTTTGAGACCAAGTCTCGCTCTGGCGCCCAGACTGGAGTGCAGTGGCATGATCTCGGCTCACTGCAACCTCCGCCTCCCGGGTTCAAGCGATTCTCCTGCCTCAACCTCTGGAGTAGCTGGGACTACAGGCGCATGCCACCATGCCCGGCTAATTTTTGTATTTTTTAGTAGAGATGGGGTTTCACCATGTTAGCCAGGATGGTCTCGATCTCCTGACCTCGTGAGCCACCTACCTGGGCCTCCCAAAGTGCTGGGATTATAGGCGTGAGCCACCGCGCCCAGCCTCGATGTTTTTTGTTTTTCTGTTTCTTTTTTTGTTTTTTGTTTTTTGCAGGGGGTGGGGGGACAGGATCTCACTCTGTCACCCAGACAGGAGTACAGTGGCACCACCATAGTTCACTGCGGCTCTCAAACTCCTGGGCTAAAGCGATCCTCCTGCCTCAGCTTCCCAAAGGGTTAGGATTACAGGTGTGAGCCACCACGCCCGGCCTCAGTGTTTTTTAAAGCCTTCTTGAACCATTCTAATCACCTGGAGGGGTGCTTATTTTAAATTCAGATTCCTAGGCTCCATTCCCAGAGAATTATGATTTCGGGACTAGGGTGCCAGGAATCTGTATTTTTAGGAAACTGTCCAGGTGTTCCTCGTGAGGTAGGAGGGGCTGGCCTAAGCATATTTTCTGCTTACATCTCATTTCCTCACAGCAGTCCAGCAAAGCAATGATCACTGTCCTGAATACATGAAAGGGGATGCTAAGGTCGGGATCCAGGGTCACACAAGTAGATTGGCAATAATGCATGAGACTTATCAATCAACTCTATTGATCTCGCACACCTGTGTTTATTTTACCCTTCACAAAACACTTTCGGGTCCATCACCTTTGGGTCTCCTTCCCCCACCTATGAGGTAGGTCATAATCACCTCCATGTTACAAGCGAGGACACATCAAATAACAGAGTGTCCTCCTAGTCCATTTCCCACACTTGTGTAAAGCCTCTGTTTCCACTGCTGCCTTATCAACCCCACGATTTCCATTTCAGACTCCCTTTCTGGGTCTCTTTGACCCAGCTTACCTCTTTGCATGTGGCTGGTACATGGACTAAGTCTCAAATCTGTGCTGCTGCTTATTCCAGAGCTTCCGCGTCAAGGCTTGGGACAAGAATTGTGATAAATGCAAATATTTATTCAAACATCAGTGGACACCTACAAAGTTCCCCCTTACAGGGCCGAGTGCTACGGTTATTGAGATGGATAAAACAAGCCTCAAGGAGTTATCATCTAATGACAGAGACCTATCAACAGCCAGTGATGCCAGACTATGAGAAGCATAAAAATAAACAGGTGCTATAGAATCTGTAGCTAGGGTGAATCAGATCTGTCAGAAAAGCAAGGTTTTGGCCAGGCACAGTGGCTCATGCCTGTAATCCTAACTATTTGGGAGGCTGAGGCTGGAGCATCACTTGAGCCCAGGAGTTCAAGACCAGCCTGGGCAACACAGTGAGACCCCCCATCTCTACAAAAATAAATAAACAACAACAAAAAATATTAGCCAGGCATCATGGTGCATGCCTGTAGTCCCAGCTACTTAGGAGGCTGAGGCGGGAGGATTGCTTGACCCTAAGAGATCAAGGACACAGTGAGCTACGATCACACTACACTCCAGCCTGGGTGACAAGCGAGACCCTATCTCAAAAAAATGAAGTTTCCGGCTGGATGCGGTGGCTCAACACCTGTAATCCCAGCACTTTGGGAGGCCAAGGCAGGTGGACCACCTGAGGTCAAGAGTTCGAGACCAGTCTGGCCAACATGGTGAAACCCCATCTCTACTAAAAACACAAAAATTAGCTGGGTGTGGTGGCTGGCACCTGTAATCCCAGCTACTCGGGAGGCTGAGGCAGGAGAATCACTTGAACCTGGGAGACGGAGGTTGCAGTGAGCCGAGATCGTGCCACTGCACTCCAGCCCGGGTGACAGAGTGAGACTCCATCTCAAAAAACAAAAAAATGAAGTTTCTCCTAGGTTTCCTGTAGTCTTGCACATGGACTGGAACTTACTAGACCAGTGTCAGAGGCCAAGGCAGCTCCAGAGCCTGTCTCCTGATCTGTCTCTGCCGCTCTGTCCGCTCTCTGCTCCTCTCACTTCGTCAGCACTGCCCATTCCCCCTACTTTGCATGTCCCCTTTCTACTGTGTAGTTTCTGCTTTCTCGTCACCTGTGCATCATTTCACCATGGTCTTAGCCCCAGACCAACTTCTTGGCTTCTCTCTGCAGAGGCAGCACTTTTGTTCCCGTTGCTACTGCCTGATGCTCTGAGGGCTTGGGGTGCCAACACTGAAGAAGGATCATGGGGTTGGCCTAAGACTGCCTTGTTTAGGATGGATAGTGGGTGTGGCAGGCCCTGACACCACATGTCTGGTAATTCACCCTCTAGCAACCCAGCCCACTTCTCCTATATGTTTAGCTCCCAAAACGGCCTGCCAGGATGCCATTCTCACTGCTAGAGCTGAAATATATACAAATATATGAAATATACATAAATTAATACAGTTAATATAAATTCACTCTATCCTCCCCAGCAGGATTCAAACTTGAAATCTTGCTTCAAAAAGTGATTATGAGAAAAAAAATCTAATAATCTGATCAAAAAGAGGGCAGAAGATTTGAATAGACGCTTCTCAAAATAAGACACACAAATGCCAAACAGGTATAAGAAAACGTGCTCAGCATCATTGGTCATCACTGGGAGGCTGAGGTAGGAGAATTGCTTGAGCCTGGGAGTTCAAGACCAGCCTGGGCAATATAGTGAGACCTCATCTGTAAATAAATAAATAAAATTTTAAAAAACAGATGAATGGTGAGCCAAGATCATGCCACTGCATCCTAGCCTGGGAAACAAGAGAGAAAACTGTTTAAAAAAAAAAGAAAAAAGAAAAACACAGATGAATGGATAAAGCAAATGTGGTACATATACACAATGGAGCACCATTCACCCATAAAAAAGGATGAGATCCTGTCATTTGCAACAACATGAATGGAACTGGAGATCATTATGTTAGGTGAAATAAGCCAGGCACAGAAAGACAATCATTGCATGTTCTCACTTATTTGTGGGAGTTAAAAATCAAAACAATTGACCTCATGGACATAGAGAGTAGAAGGATGGTTACCAGAGGCTGGGAAGGGTAGTGGGCAGGTAGGTGGATGGTGGGGATGGTTAATGGGTACAAAAAAAATAGAATAAGACCTACTATTTGATAGCACAACAGAGTGACTGTAGTCAATAATAATTTCATTGTACATGTTAAAAAAAACTTAAGAGTGTAATTGCATGGTTGGTAACTTAAAGGATAAATGATTGGGGGAATTAAAAAAAAAAGTGATTATGGCAAGGGTCCTTCAAGAAAACACTCCGGGCCGGGCGCGGGGGCTCACGCCTGTAATCCCTGCACTTCGGGAGGCCGAGGCGGGCGGATCACGAGGTCAGGAGATCAAGACCATCCTGGCTAGCATGGTGAAACCCCGTGTCTACTAAAAATTAAAAAAAAAAAATTAGCCGGGCATGGTGGCGGGCGCCTGTAGTCCCAGCTACTCGGGAGGCTGAGGCAGGAGAATGGCGTGAACCCGGGAGGCGGAGCTTGCAGTGAGCCAAGATCACGCCACTGCACTCCAGCCTGGTGACAGAGCAAGACTCAGTCTCAAAAAAAAAAAAAAAAAAAAAAAACACTCTCAGCCCAGAGTCCAGTGTCCCCTGCTCTAAGTAGTTTCACTCAGGTCTGATTTCCATCCATTCTCCAAATGATGGGCTAAATCCTCAACTTAAGCACCACAACTACATCATGTATAAACAATACATCACACACACACCCCACAACATAGAAAATGCAATAGTGGGCTGGGTGAGGTGGCTCGTGCCTGTAATCCCAGCACTTTGGGCAGCCAAGGCAGGTGGATCACTTGAGATCAGGAGTTCAAGACCAGCCTGACCCACATGGTGAAACCCTGTCTCTACTAAAAATAGAAAACTTAGTCGGGCACGGTGGCTCACACCAGTAATCCCAGCACTTTGGGAGGCCGAGGCGGGCGGATCACGAGGTCAGTAGTTTGGGACCAGCCTGATCAACATGGTGAAACCCCGTCTCTACTAAAGATACAAAAAATTAGCCAGGGGATTACACCTGTAATCCCAGCTACTCGGGAGGCTGAGGCAGGAGAATCCCCTTGAACCAGGCAGTCAGAGGTTGCGGTGAGCCTAGATCGTGCCATTGCACTCCAGCCTGGTGACAGAGTGAGACTCTGTCTCAAAATAATAATAATAATAAAATGCAATAGTTAACAAAACTACATTTGAGCCAACAACCTGCATAGGAGAGGTGCGGGTTACAGTGAGTAGAAATCCTCATTCCTGGAAGGCTGCAGTGGCCATGGGCCTCACACATAGACCGCATTCACCTGAGAGCCAGGGGCTGGAGCTGCAACTTGTGAGTGACCAGTGCATCCCAGGGGCTTGCCTTGCTCCTCATGCTGGAGGAGTTTCCGGAAGGGGCTCTTGCCACTTCCCACATCACAGCAGTGCGTTCCTGCCAGTGCTGGGAGCAAAGCTCAGCCACCGTTCCTGCCAGCGCTGGGAGCAACGCTCAGCCACCGTCTTTGTCTAGGTTTGGTTTGCTCACAGTGAGGACTGCCTCGGGGGCTGAGACTTCCTGCCGAGTTAGTGGAGTCAGGCACAGGCCTGCTAGCCAGGGCTGATGGTTCGTATTTTCATAATGAAAATTCCCCAGAACCTGAATGGGCTGCCTGACAATTCCCCTACACACACAGACACACAGACACACAGACACACACACACACACACACAGAGACACACACATACACAGATACACAGACACACACACAGACACACAGAGACACAGACACAAAGACACACACACACACAGACACAGACACACAAACACACACAGAAACACAGACACACACACAGCCACACACACAGCCACGGACACACACACACACACACATTCACAGACACACGCAGATACACACAGACACACGCAGACACAGACACATAGACACGCAAACACAGACACACACACACACCCAGACACACACACACACACCCAGACACACACACACACACACAGACCCAGATACACACATACACACAGACACAGGCATGGACCCACACACACACACAGACACACACACAGACACACACACCCCGGGATGCTTTGACTTCCAAGTAAGACCCAAAAGAACTAGCTCAACAGGAAGCCACTCCCGTCGCCTGCCGGCTTCTGGCTAGCAGCGCAGAACAGCTGCAGCTGACTCCAGCGGCCAGGCTGCCAGGCCGCGGCCTCTCTGCCTTCAGTGCCCTCACAGCACAAATATCCCCAGGCTGGCCAGAGGAGGGCCCCCTCTCCACTCCACACAAAGACCTGCTCTTGATTTGTGGACAGAAGTAGGTTCAGCTGAACCAGAGCAGGGAGGTGTAGTAGACCCGGATTTCTATTTTCTTTTTTTCGAGACGGAGTCTCCCTCTCTGGCCAGGCTGGAATGCAGTGGCGCAATCTCAGCTCACTGCAACCTCCCGCGTTCAAGCGATTACCCTGCCTCAGCCTCCCGAGTAGCTGGGACTACAGGCCGCACCACCACACCCAGCTAATTTTTGTATATTTAGTACAGACGGGGTTTCACCATGTTGGCCAGGCTGGTCTCGAACTCCTAACCTCAGGCGACCCACCCGCCTCGGCCTCCCAAAGTGCTGGAATTACAGGCACGAGCCCGTATGAGGGAAATACATGAAGTCACGGGTGCTTTATCTTCCAGCACCTTCCCTTCTTCTGAGAACTGTCCGTCTCCAATCCTGTGGGCCCAGAGGATCTGCCTGGAACGGAGACAGCCCACCCCTGGCCAGAGTGGACTGGTCTCAGGAGGACACCTGACCCAAGCCAGGCCAAAGAAAGTCCCTTCCCTGGGAATGTTCTCAAACAAAACACAGGAAAGCAGTCTGTCTCTGCTGCCACAAGCTATGAAACCTGGATGCATGGGCTGCCATGTTCATTCCTCGTTTTTTACGTGTGTAAGAGAGAATGCAGCTGAGACGCAGACGAGCAGAGACAAGAATGCGCCTCAGCGTTCCCGCCCCGCCCCAGGAATACCTGAGGCCCAGCAGAGCTGCTACAGGCTGGCTGCCCACAAGTCCTTTGATGGAATGAGGAAACTCAGCCTCTTTCCAATATATCTCCCTTTTCTTGGCTTAATATATGAGGATTTTCAGGGAGGGCAGGGTGGCTCACGCCTGTAATTCCAGCACTTTGGGAGGCCGAGGTGGGCGGATCACGAGGTCAGGAGATGGAGACCATCCTGGCTAACACAGTGAAACCCCGTCTCTACTAAAAATACAACAAATTAGCCGGACGTGGTGGCGGGCACCTGTAGTCCCAGCTACTCGGGAGGCTGAGGCAGGAGAATGGCGTGAACCCGGGAGGCGGAGCTTGCAGTGAGCCGAGATCACGCCACTGCACTCCAGCCTGGGCGACAGAGCGAGACTCTGTCTCAGGAAAAAAAAAAAAAAAAAATTAGTCCGGTTGGTGGCATGCACCTGTAGTCCCAGTTACTCAGGAGGCTGAAGTGGAAATGGGGGAGAATCAATTGAACCTGGGAGGCAGAAGTTGCAGTGAGTGGTGATCCTACCATTGCACCCTCCAGCCTGGGTGACAGAGTGAGACTCTGTCTCAAAAAACAAAAAAAAACAAAAAAAAAAAAACCAAAGAATTTTCAGGTCAGGGGTGGTGGTTCCAACCTGTAATCCCAGCACTTTGTGAGGTCAAGGTGGGAGGATTGCTTGAGGCCAGGAGTTCAAGACTAGCTTGGGCAACATGGCGAAACCCTATCTCTACAGAAATAAAAACAAAAAGAAAAAGAAAAGTAAAGCGTTCCACTTGAGGCCAGGTGCGGTGGTTTACGCCTGTAATCCCAGCACTTTAGGAGGCTGAGGCGGGCGGATCACCTGAGGTAGGGAGTTTGAGACCAGAAAAAAAAGAAAAAGAAAAAAAAACTGAAGCCAAGAAAGTCATAGACCAAACAAGAATTAATGAACTAATTAGTATCTCAGAGGAAAGAAGGCCTTCCTTCCTTTCCCTAGAGCCCAAATCAGAGACCATAAAGAAAAAGAAAAAATACATCAACTTCTGTAGGGCAAAAACTATGAAACGAAAGGCAAGCAAACAACAAACTGGGAGAAAATGTCTGTAACCAGTGACATCTCTGCTGTATTTATGAAGCCCTCACAGAAAGCCATGAAGAGCTGACAAAACCTGGGCACCGTGGGGAAACGGTGAGAAACCCCGGGAGAGAGGAAGATCTGGACTTGGAGGAGAACAGCACACCAGAGCAGAAGGGGGCTGGTGCCTAGGAAAGAGATGAACAAAAATGGTAAAAACTCCAAAGTGATTTCAAAGAGGGATAAAAATGTGGAGGGTGGGGGAGGGGGAGATGGAGAGAAAGAGGAGAGGGAGGCCACCAGGGCGGCCCCAGGGCCAGGGCTAAGCACTCACCCTCCCCAGGAGGCAATCTCTCCACAAACTTGGGTAAAGAAGAGAAAACAAAAGTCCTTGCAACTTACCAGTACAGGAAGGAGAGTCCATACCGTTCATCTTGTTAGAAAAGATCTCAGCCAGGCGCGGTGGCTCACGCCTGTAATCCCAGCACTTTGGGAGGTCGAGACGGGCGGGTCACCTGAGGTCAGGAATTCAAGACCAGCCTGGCCAACATGGAGAAACCCCATCTCTACTAAAAATACAAAATTAGCCGGGTGTGGTGGTGCGTGCCTGTAATCCCAGCTACTCAGGAGGCTGAGGCAGGAGAATTGCTTAAACCTGGGAGGTGGAGGTTGCAGCGATCCCAGATTGCGCCACTGCACTCCATCCTGGGCAACAGAGTGAGCCTCTGCTGCAATAAAAAAAATAAAACAAATAAAAAATAAAAACAGAAAAGAAAAGATCTCGAATCTGCTTCTCACTTCAGCGCAGAGGCAGAAGACGAGAATGAATCGAGAAGGAGAATCCCCATATCAGCAAAGAATGGATGCTGCGTTCACGGGCAGTTTCCACCACATTGTGGGCTTGCCTTCAGAAAGAGAGAAGGTGGTGGCAGAGATGATGCCGCTGCAGAAGCCAGAAGAGGGTCCAGCTGATGTTCAAAGTTCAGGAGGAAAGGATTCAATATCAGAGAAAAACTACTAAGAACTCCCAGTACCTAAACAGTTTGATGAGGTGGGAATCCCAAACAGAAAGGAGGCAAGAAGTAATTACAGCTGGGCACGGTAGCTCACACCTGTAATCCCAGCACTTTGGGAGGCCAAGGTGGGCGGATCACCTGGGGTCAGGAGTTCGAGACCAGCCTGGGCAACATGGTGAAACCCCATCTCTACTAAAAATACAAAAATTAGCTGGGTGTGATGGCACGTGCCTGTAATCCCAGCTACTTAGGAGGCTGAGGCAGGAGAATATCTTGAACCCAGGAGACAGAGGTTGCAGTGAGCCAAGATCGTGCCGGTGCACTCCAGCCTGGTGACAGAGCAAGACTCCGTCTCAAAAAAAAAAAAAAAAAAAAAAAAACAGCAAGTACACCTGTCACCCAGATTGGAGCACAGTGGTGCAGTCTTGGCTCATTGCAGCCTCGACCTGCTGAGCTCAATGATCCTCCTGCCTCAGCCTCCTGAATAGCTGGGATCACAGGCGCACACCACCATACTTGGCTAATTTTTTAACTTTTTCATCAAGACAGGGTCTCGCTATGCTATGTTGTCCACGCTGGTCCCAAACTCCTGAGGTCAAATGATCCTCCTGCCTTGGCCTCCTGAGTAGCATCAACTGCAGCCTCACTTCACCATGGCTGGCTTGACTTTTAATGCTCCTACTACCAATACTTATTTATACTATTAATACTAAAAGTAAATAGAAGTCCATTTTTATTTATTTAATTTTTAATTTTTTTTTTTTTTGAGACAGAGTCTCTGTTGCCCAGGCTGGAATGCAGTGACGTGATCACAGCTCACTGAAACCTCCACTTCCCAGGTTCAAGCAATTCCCCTGTCTCAGCCTCCCAAATAGCTGGGACTACAGGTGCGCGCCACCATACCCTGCTAATTTTTTGTATTTTAGTAGAGATGGGGTTTCACCATGTTGGCCAGGATGGTCTTGATCTTCTTACCTCGTGATCCACCGGTCTCGGCCTCCCAAAGTGCTGGGATTACAGGCGTGAGCCACTGCGCCCAGCTGGAAGTCTATTTTTATTTTTATTTATTATTATTATTATTATTTTTGAGACAGAGTTTCACTCTTGTTGCCCAGGCTGGAGTGCAATGGTGCAGTCTCGGCTCACTGCCTCCTGGGTTCAAGTGATTCTCCTGCCTCAGCCTCCCGAGTAGCTGGGATTACAGGCATATGCTACCATGCCCAGCTAATTTTGTATTTTTAGTAGAGACAGGGTTTCTTCATGTTGGTCAGGCTGATCTCAAATTCCTGACCTCAGCTGATCCACCCGCCTCGGCCTCCTGGGATTACAAGCATGAGCCACCGCACCTGGCCCGGGAAGTCTATATTTAAAAAGAAAGTGGTATCTGAGTTAGGTGGCTGTCATCTGTAATCCCAGCATTTTGGGAGGTCAAGGCTGAAGGATAGGTTGAGCTCAGGAGTTCTGGACCAGCCTGGAACATAGTGAGACACCCCCCAATCTCTACAAAAAAAAAATTCTTAATTCTAATGTTCAAACGTTGTTTTAGGCTGGGCGCAGTGGCCTGTAATCCCAACACTTTGGGAGGCTGAGGCAGGCATATCACTTGAGGTCAGGAGTTCAAGACCAGCCTAGCCAACATGGTGAAACCCCATCTCTACTAAAAATACAAAAATTAGCTGGGCATGGTGGCAGGTGTCTGTAATCCCAGTTACTCAGGAGGCTGAGGCAGGAGAATCGCTTGAAGCCAGGAGGTGGAGGTTGCTGTGAGCCAAGATCATGCCACTGAACTTTAGCCTGGGCGACAAAACAAGACTGTCTCAAAAAAAAAAAAAAAGAAAGACATCAGAGGACGCTTATAAAAGTGAGACATGAGACAGAGAGAAAAGCCCAAGGAGGTTCCTTATTTAATGTTTTCAATCTTCTCCCAATGCATGGAGCAGCTCCTGCCTCTTAGAACATGGGCCATGCTTCTGAGTGCCTGCTGTTCCAAAGTCTGCCATCCAGAGGGACAGACAGACATTAAAACAAAGTAGCAGAACAGCTTTGGCAAGGTGCCCTAGGAATTTATAATACAGTAACTAATCCAGTCTAGAAAGCTCAAAATACACTTTCTCTCCTGGAATTGACCCAGAGCTAAAGCCACCAATTGACCAAATGCCTGCTAACAGTGCCCATGTTTAAAGTCCAAGATCCCCCAGGTGACAGATTAATTAGTGACTCTCTCATGCAAACCTTGGATAGAAACATTCTACTTCAACTATCCAGGCTCCTTATCGGACTCAGGATCCTTATCGGACTCAGGATCACTTCCACGGAAACCCACTTTTGATTCCAACTTTTGTTTTGTTTTAGGTGGACTCTTTTGGTTACAAAGAAAAAGGAATAAACTTAAATCACTTATTTATGTATACATTTATTTATTTATTTTTGAGACAGGGTCTCACAGAGTTGCCAAGGCTGCAGTGCCACCATTACAGCTCACCACAGCCTTGACCTCCCAGGCTGAAGTGATCCTCCCACCTCAGCCTCCGGAGTAGCTGAGACTACAGGTCCACACTATCACACCCAGCTAATTTTTAAATTTCTTTGTAGAGCCGGGGTCTCACTGTGTTGCCCAGGCTGGTCTTAAACTCCTGGACTCAAGCAATCCTCCTACCTCAGCCTCCCAAAGTACTGGAATTACAGCCATGAGCCATCGCCCCTGGCTTTTAAATCACTTTTTATTTTTTGCATTTATTTATTTATTTATTTTTGAGATGGGGTCTTGCTCTGTCACCCAGGCTGGAGTGCAGTTGCACGATCTCAGCTCACTGCAATCTCTGCCTCCTGGGTTCAAGCAATTCTCCTGCTTCAGCCTCCGGAGTAGGTGAGACTACAGGCATGTGCCACTATGACCGGCTAATTTTTGCATTTTTAGTAGAGATGGGGTTTCACTATGTTGGCCAGGCTGGTCTCGAACTCCTGACCTCAGGTGATCCACCCACCTCGGCCTCCCAAAGTGCTAGATTACAGATGTAAGCCACCGTGCCAGGCCTAATTTTTGTATTTTTATTTATTTAGACAGAGTCTCGCTCCATCACCCAGGCTGGAGTGCAAGTGGCGAGATCTCTGCTCACTGCAACCCCTGCCTCCCAGGTTCAAGGGGTTCTTGTGCCTCAGCCTCCTGAGCATAGCTGGGATTACAGACATGCACCACCACACCAGGCTAATTTTTAAAAATATTTTTCAGTAGAGACAGGGTTTTGCTGTGTTACCCAGACTCGTCTTGAACTCCTGTCCTCAAGTGATCCACCCGCCTCCGCTTCCCAAAGTGCTGGGATTACAGGAGTGAGCCACTGCACCCAGCCTATTTTTGTTGTTGTTGCTTCTCGGAGAACAGAGCTAACCCATAGACAATGTGCTCAGAGTCAGCTAAATCACTTTTTTTTTAAAGGAAAGTTTTTCTGTCATCATGACAGGAATTAATTCCAGCAAGAATTATCAGTGGATAGCCAGGCACGGCGGCTCACATCTGTAATCCCAGCACTTTGGGAGGCCGAGGCAGGCGGATCACGAGGTCAGGAGTTCGAGACCAGCCTGGCCAACATGGTGAAACCCCGTCTCTACTAAAAATACAAAAATTAGCTGGATGTGGTGGCGCGTGCCTGTAATTCCAGCTACTCAGTAGGCTGAGGCAGGAGAACTGCTTGAACCGGGACCAGGGAGGCAGAGGTTGTGGTGAGCCACGATCAACGATCACGCCATTGCACTCCAGCCTAGGCAACAAGAGTGAAACTCTGTCTCAAAAAAAAAAAAAATTATCAGTGGATGCTGCAGGATATAGGCCAGAGATTGAGAAGGAACAAGATATTTACATAGTATCAAAGTATCTCTCCACGAAAGTGCTCCTTAGTTACAAAGTAAAAAAACAGAATCTCCACAGTGGAGAAACATGGCGGATGCCACCTTAACCAAAGGATCAAAGTTAACATCCCCATTAAGGGTGAAATTGATATAATGTGTTTCCTGATAGGACCCACCAAGAAAGATCGCTGGTGTAATATTCCTGCCAGAAAAACATAACCCAAATACAACCTTGTGGAAACATCTGACAAATTGAGGGAAACTCTACATAATTACTGGACTATAATTTTCAAAAATGTCAAATTTATGAAAAATAAAGACAGGTTAAGGAACTAAAGCAAATTAAAGTGATATGGCCCTGGATTGGATTCTGGACAGGAAAGAAAAAAAGCAAAAAACAACAACCGTCAAGGACATTTTAGGACAATTGGCTAAATGGGATTATGGACTGTAGATTGGATGTGAGTATTGTATCAATGTTATATTTCCTAAAATTAATAACTGCACTGTAGTATATAAGGAAATGTCTTTGTTTTAGGAAACACATACTGAAATATTTAGTGGTAAAGAAACATAATGTCTTCAGCTTGTTCTCAAATGGTTCCAGAAAAAAACACTCAAGAGGGAGAAAGACAATATGATCAAGCAAATGAGACAAAATGTTAACACATGGTGAATCTGGGAAGAGGGCATGCAGTTCTTTGTACTATTCTGGTATTTTTTTCTGTAAGTTTTAAATTATATAAAAATAAAATCTTAGCAAAAATGCTAATGTCTGGGACTCACATCGCCCCCCAGTTTCTTATTTTAATTTATTAATTCATTATTTTATTTTATTTTATTATTTATTTATTTTGAGGCAGTTGTCTTGCTCTGTCACCCAGACTGGACTGCAGTGGTGCAATCTCAGCTCACTGCAACCTCCGCCTCCCGGGCTCAAGTGATCCTCCCACCTCAGCCTCCCGAGTAGGTGGGACCACAGGCACCTGCTACCATACCTGGCTGATTTATTTTTGTTTTCATTTTTAGCAGAGATGAGGTCTTACTATGTTGCCCAGGCTGGTCTCAAGCCTCTGCAGTCAAGCAATCCTGTCTCAGCCCCCAAAGTGCTGGGATTACATCTATGAGCCACTGAGCCTGGCTATTATTTATAATGGGGGAAAAAAGTGGAAACAAGGCAAATGATCATAAACAGCAGAAAGGAAAACTGCCTTTTACTCATTAAATACAATAAAGCATTGCGAATGAATGAATTATAGCTGTGGGTACATCAATATGAATATGTCTTAGAAATATAATGTCTGGCCGGGTGCAGTGGCTCACACCTGTAATCCCAGCATTTCTAGAAGCTGAGGTGGGTGGATCACTTGAGGTTAGGAGTTTGAGACCAGCCTCGCCAACGTAGTGAAACCCCGTCTCTAGTAAAACACAAAAAAATTAGCTGGGCATGGTTGGGCGCGCCAGTTACTGGGGAGGCTGAGACAGGAGAATCGCTTGAACCCAAGAAGCTGAGGTTGCAGCGAGCCAAGATCACACCATTGCACTCCAGCCTAGGCAACTAATGTTAACTCAAAAGTGTTTAGGACACTGGGGAAAAAAATATCGTATTAAATGGTTGCTGCTCTTAGAAGTAGGCCCATCCTGCAGGTAGAGACCAAGTGGAATTGCCTCCTGGTGCCCTGTTCAGATTTGGTGTGGCCCTTCAGGCAAACAGGAAAGCCTGCCTGGAGAAGCCCCAGAGAGATGCCTGGGGTCTGGCTGCAAAGGAACCAAGGGTCTGGTGCTTTCCCATTTGCTAGTGAGAGGCAGGGTCTTGCTCATGATGTGGGAGGTCTGGAGCATAGGAAAAGGCCTTCGGGTGCTGAGCAGCTGAAAGGAGTGACAGATGTCATCCCAGAATCCCAGAAGACATGAGACTCACAAAGCAACAGTAAGCAAGGAAAGCAGCTAATGCATTGGTAAGTCTAAGAAAGCTCTAACTGATGTTTTAAAATGGAAGCAGTTGTGGGAGAATCAAGCCCAGGAGTTTAAGATCTGCCTGGATAACCTAGTGAGACCTCATCTCTACTAAAATTTTTTTTTTTTCTGAGATGGAGTCTCGCTCTTGTCACCCAGGCTAGAGTGCAATGGCACGATCTCGGCTCACTGCAACCTCCGCCTTCTGGGTTCAAGCGATTCTCCTGCCTCAGCCTCCCCAGTAGCTGGGATTACAGGCGCCTGCCACCACACCTGGCTAATTTTTGTATTTTTAGTAGAGATGGGGTTTCACCATGTTTGTCACGCTGGTCTCGAACTCCTGACCTCCCGTGATCTGCCTGCTTTAGCCTCCCAATGTGCTGGGATTACAGGCGTAAGCCACCCTGCCTGGCCTAAAAATTTTTAAATTAGCTGGATGTGGTGGTGGGCACCTCTAGTCCCAGATACTTAGGAAGCTGAGTTGGGAGGATTGCTTGATCCCAGGAGTTAGAGGTTGCAGTGAACTATGATCGCACCACTGCACTCCAGCCTGGGTGACAGAACGAGACCCTGTCTCAAAAAATAAATAAATAAGTAAACAAATACATAAAATACAATGGAAGTAGTAATCTATAATTTAAATTCTCGGTGATATCTCATGAAAGATGAAGGGGTAGGGATAGAAAACGAAACACATTCTAAGAACCTTGTCTTGTTTTGGGGGCAATCAATAGTTATTAATTCTAGATTTTGATAGAAAGTTACATTTAAATGTTATGTTAAAAATCAATGATTGCTAGCTGGGCATGGTGGCTTACACTTGTAATCCCAGCACTTTAAGAGGCCGAGGAGGGTGGATCACCTGAGGTCAGGAGTTCAGGGGCAGCTTGGCCAACATGGTGAAACCCTATCTCTACTAAAAATACAAAAATTACCCAGGCATGGTGGCACACACCTGTAGTCCCAGCTACTCGGGAGGCTGAGGCAGGAGAATCGCTTGAACCTGGGAGGAGGAGGTTGCAGTGAGCTGAGATTGCACCACTGCACACCAGCCTGGGCAAAGAGCGAGACTCTGTCTCAAAAATAAATAAATAAATAAATAAATAAATAAATAAAATAATTCTGCTACATGCTGTTTGCAAGAGACAACAAAAACAAGTTGGTAAAAAGCTGGAAAATTCCAGGCATGGTGGCTCATGCCTGTAATCCCAGCACTTTGGGAGGCCCAGGCAGGTGGATCACCTGAGGTTAGGAATTCGCGACCATCCTGGCCATCATGGTGAAACCCCATCTCTACTAAAAATACCAAAAAATTAGCCGGGCACCTGTAATCCCAGCTACTCAGGAGGCTGAAGCAGGAGAATCACCTGAACCCCGGGAGGCAGAGGTTGTGGTGAGCCGAGATCGTGCCATTGCACTCCAGCCTGGGTAACAAGAGTGAAACTCCGTCTCAAAAAAAAAAAAAAAAAAAAAAATCTGGAAAATAAGAGAATAAATTATGGCATAAAAATACTAATATAAAGAAAACAAATATAGCAATATTAATGCCAAACAAAAGAATTCAAAACAGAAAGCATTAAAAGGGACCAAGGGGGATATTTCATCTTTATAAAAGGTATAATATACCAAGAAGCTATCATGGTTGTAGCGGGCTGAATGATGGCCCCCCTCAAAAGATACATCCATATCCTAATCCCTGACATCTGTGAATGTTACCTTATTTGGAAAAAGGAACTTTGAGATGTAAATGAATTAAGGACCTGAGATAAGGAGATGATTCTAGATTATCCAAGAGGGCCCGAAAATCAATGACAAGTGTCCTTATAAGAGACAGGAGAGGAGAAGACACAGACACACAGAAGCGAAAGTGATATAAAGACACTAGCAGAGATTAGAATGATAAAGCTCCAAAAGCAAGGAAAGCGTTGGAATGCTGGCAGCTGCCAGACACTGGAAAAGGCAGGGGAGCATTCTCTCCTAGAGCCTCCGGGGGAAGTGTGGCCATGGGGACACCTCGATTTCAGACTTCTGGCCTCCAGAACTGTGAGAGGATACATTTTATTTTCGCAAGCCACTCGATTTGTGGTAATATGTTACAGCAGCCAGCAAGTTGACTAGCTAATAGTCATAGGCATTTGTCTATCTAAAAACATAGCTTTAAAATAAAGTAAAATTGTATGGAAATAAAGAATAAAGTGAACAATCCACAATTGGGGTGCTTGATTTTAACATACCTCGCCCAGAAATGGACAGATCAAGTACACAAAAAATAAGAAAAAGTATACAGGATTTGAGAGTATATATTATCTCAACAGGGAATACATATTATTTTAAAATGCACATAGAACATAAAGAGAATAACAAATTCCAGAGGCCGGGCTTGGTGGCTCGCTAATGTAATCCCAGCATTTTGAGAGGCCAAGGCAAGAGTGTTCCAGACCAGCCTGGGCAATATGGCGAAACCCCATTTCCACTAAAAATACAAAAATCAGCTTGGTGTGGTGGTATGTGCCTGCAGTCCCAGCTACTGGGCAGGCTGAGGTGGGAGGATTGCTCAAGCCTGGTAGGCGGAGGTTGTAGTGAGCCGTGATTGCACCACTGCACTCTAGCCTGGGTGACAGAGACAGATCCTGTCTCAAAAAAAAAAAAATTCCAGAAAGTGAAAATCATGGGTACTAGTCAGGGCACTCTACAAAAACAGAACCATAACCAGACATGGTAGCACGCGCCTGTAGTCCCAGCTACCCGGGTGGCTGAGGCAGGAGGATGGCTTGAGCCCAGGAGGTTGCAGTGAACCATGATCACGCCACTACACTCCACCCTGGGCAACAGAGTGAGACCCAATACAACCAATAGGATGTATACATACACACACAAACACACACAAACACACGACAAATATTTATTTTAAGGAATTGGCTGACATGATTCATGATTATGTGCGCTAGCAAGTCCAAAACCTTGACTAGGGAGTCAGCAAGCTAGAGACCAAGGGAACAGTTTACGTAATCCTGGGTCCAGAGGTAGTCAGTCTGGAGGCAGAATTCCTTCCTTCTCAAGGGAACCTCAGCCTTTCCTCCTAAGCCATTCAACTGGTTGGATGAGGCCCACCCACATTATGAAAGATAATCTGCTTTACTCCAAGCATACTGATTTAAAGGTTAATCACATCTGAAAATACCTTCACAGCAACATCTAGAATAGTGGGTTGTTTTTTCATTTTTCATTTTTGTTTTCTTTTCTTTTCTGTTTTTTGAGACAGACTCTTGCTCTGTTGCCCTGGCTGGAGAACAGTGGTGCAATCTCAGCTCACTGCAACCTCTACCTCCCAGGTTCAATCGATTCTCCTGCCTCAGCCTCCTGAATAGCTGAGATTACAGGAACCTGCCACCGTGTTTAGCTTTTGTGTTTTATGTATAATATCCAGGGTTTTGTTGTATTTAGCAGGTGGAATAGGTAAAAGAAAGTGTACTCCATCTTCCCATAAGCAGAAGTCTCTCAGATGGATTTTTTTTTAATATAAACTTTTTTTCTTTCTTTTTTTTTTTTAGAGGTGGGATCTTGCTCTGTTGCCCAGGCTGGTCTGGGATTCCTGGGCTCAAGCCGTCCTCCCACCATACCTGGCCTATTGTAAACTTTAAAATGTATTGCAGTTTACAATAAACATCCAAGGTATGATGTGATGGATAATTTTATGTGTCAACTTGGCCAGACTAATAGTAGTAGTCAGTTGTTTGGTCAAACACTAGTCTAGGCCAGTCGCAGTGGCTCACGCCTGTAATCCCAGCACTTGGGGAGGCAGGCGGATCACTTGAGGTCAGGAGTTCAAGACTAGCCTGGCCAACATGAGGAAACCCAATCTCTACCAAAAATACAAAAATTACCCAGGTGTAGTGGTGCACACCTGTAGTCCCAGCTACTTGGGAGGCTGAGGTGTTTGGATCACTTGAGCCCAGGAGGCGGAGGCTGCAGTGAGCTGTGATCACACCACTGCATTCCAACCTGGGTGAGAAAGCAAGACTCTGTCTCAAAAAAAAAAAAAAAAAAAAAAAACTACACGGAGCCAGGTGTGGTGGCTCACACTTGTAATCCCAGCACTTTGGGAAGCCGAGGCGGGTGGATCATTTGAGGTCAGGAGTTCAAAGACCAGCCTGGCCTACCCGGTGAAACCCTGTCTCTACTAAAAATTCAGGGCCGGTGCAGTGGCTCACTCCTGTAATCCCAGCACTTTGGGAGGCCGAGGCAGGCGGATCACCTGAAGTCGGGAGTTCGAGACCAGCCTGACCAACATGGAGAAACCCCGTCTCTACTAAAAATACAAAATTAGCCGGGTGTGGTGGCGCATGTCTGTAATCCCAGCTACTCAGGAGGCTGAGGCAGGAAAATTGCTTCAACCCGGGAGGCGGAGGTTGCAGTGAGCCGAGATTGTGCCATTGCACTCCAGTCTAAGCGACAGAGTGAGACTCTGTCTCAAAAAATAAATAAATAAAATAGAAAAACAAAACAAACAAACCCAACTCATTTCTTCCCTGAATTCTCCTCAAAAAAATAAATAATTTTTTTCTTTCTTTTCTTTTTTTTTTTTTTTTGAGACAGAGTTTCACTTTTGCCACCAAGGCTGGGGTGCAATGGCATGATCTCGGCTAACTGCACCCTCCACCTCCCTGGTTCAAGCAATTCTCCTGCCTCAGCCTCTGGAGTAGATGGGATTACAGGTGCCTGCCACCATGTCCGACTAATTTTTTTTTTTTTTTTTTTTGAGACAGGGAGACAGGGTCTGGCTCTGTCGTCCAGACTGGAGTGCAGTGACATGATCATGTTTCACTGCAGCCCTGGCCTCCTGGGCTAAAGCGATCCTCCTGCCTCAGTAGCTGAGACTACAAGAGTACACCACCAGGCTGGGTGCGGTGGCTCACGCCTGTAATCCCAGCACTTTGGGAGGCCGAGGTGGGCAGATCACGAGGTCAGGAAATCGAGACCATCCTGGCTAATATGGTGAAACCCCATCTCTACTAAAAACAAAACAAAAAAATTAGCTGGGCGTGGTGGCGGGCGCCTGTAGTCCCAGCTACTCGGGAGGCTGAGGCAGGAGAATGGCGTGAACCCAGGAGGTGGAGCTTGCAGTGAGCCAAGATCGCGCCATTGCACTCCAGCCTGGGCGACAGAGCAAGACTCCGTCTCAAAAAAAAAAAAAAAAAAAAAAGTACACCACCAAGTCCAGCTAATGTTTTCGTTTTTGTTTTTGGTAGAGATGAGGCCTCACTGTGTTACCCAGGCCAGTCTCAAACTCCTAAATTTAAGCAATCTTCGAGCTTTGGCCTCCCAAAGTGCAGGGATTACAAGCATGAGCCACCATCCCCAAGCTCTTTTCTGAAATGTTTATTTTAGTTTTGGTTCAGGGGGTACATGTACATATTTGTTAGATGAATATATTGCATCCTGGTGAGGACTGGGCTTCTAGTGTACCCATCACCCAAACAGTCAACACTGGACCCATTAGGTAATTTTTTTTTTTTTTTTTTTTGAGACGGAATCTTGCTCTATCGCCCAATCTGGAATGTAGTGGCCCGATTTCGGCTCACCAGAACCTCTGCCTCCTGGGTTCAAGCGATTCTCCTTCCTCAGCCTCCCGAGTAGCTGGGATTACAGGTGCCCACCACCAAGCCTGGCTAATTTTTGTATTTTTAGTAGAGACGGGGTTTCGCCATGTTGGCCCCGCTGGTCTCGAACTCCTGACCTCAGGTGATCCATCCGCTTCGGCCTCCTGGGATTACAGGCGTGAGCCACCGTGCCTGGCCCCATTAGGTAATTGTCCAATGCTCATTTCCCTCCCAAGCTCCCCTCTTTCAAAGCCCCTAATGTCTATTATTTCCATCTTTATGTCCATGTGTAACCATTGTTTAGTTCCCACTTATAGGTGAGAACATGTAGTGTTTGGTTTTCTGTTTCTGAGTTAGTTCACTTAGGATAATGGCCTCCAGCTCCATTCATGCTGCTGCAAAGGACATGATTTCATTATTTTTAGTGGCTGCATAGCATTTCATGGTGTGTGTTTGTGTGTGTATCACATTTTCTTTAATTAATTACTTTTTTTTTTTTTTGAGATGGAGTCTCACTCTGTCACCCGGGCTGCAGTGTAGTGGCACAATCTCAGCTCACTGCAACCTCCACCTCCTGGGTTCAAATGACTCTCCTGCCTCAGCCTCCCGAGTAGCTGGGATTACAGGCGCCTGCCACCACGCCCAGCTAATTTTTGTATTTTTAGTAGAGACAGGGTTTAACTATGTTGGCCAGGCTGGTCTCAAACTCCTGACCTCAAGTGATCTGCCCGCCTCGGCCTCCCAAAGTGCTGGGATTACAGGCGCAAGCCACCGTGCCTGGCCTAATTAATTAATTTTTAGAGACAGGGTTTCGCTCTGTCACCCAGGCTGGAGTGCAGTGGCATGATCATAGCTCACTGCAGCCTCCAGCACCTGGGCTCAAATGATCCTCCCACCCTGGCCCTGGCCTCCCAAAGTGCTGGGATTACAAGCTGGAGCCACCACATCTGACCTCACATTTTCTTTATCCAGTCAACTGTTGATGAACACATACCTTTTCTGATGATAGCTTCATCCGAAGGCCAGATCACATCATAATCACAGAATAATGCCAACAGCTGACAGCTCACCTGGAGTTACACATTTCCTCATCCACTTTCAGAGAAGGTTTGTATACCTTAACCATCAAACAAGAGTCTTGGGTTTCATCATGAAAGGACCAACTTACTTCCTATTTCTATCCCTGGGCCAATCACTATGACCATGAACACCCTAATCAGCTTATGTCAGGGTACTTGTTGGGTCCTTAAACTGTGTCAGAGAGGAGGCAGTCTATTAAGTGGCTTAGATCCACTCTCGCAGCTGAGAGTCAATGTCACCAAAAATTCTAGGGATGAGGTAGGAATAGTTTCTCAAAAGAAAAAAGAGTAAAAGTTGAATGGATTTTGGATACATCTCCAACTAATGTCTTCTGTACAAATTCTTTTTTTTTTTTTGTCTTAAGATGGAGTCTCATTGTGTCACCAGGCTGGAGTGCAATGGTGCAATCTTGGCTCACTGCAACCTCCGCCTCCCGGGTCCAAGTGATTCTCCTGCCTCAGCCTCCTGAGTAGCTGGGACTACAGGCGCCCGCCACCACTCCTGGCTAATTTTTTGTATTTTTAGTAGAGATAGGTTTCACCATGTTGGCCAGGATGCTCTCAATCTCTTGACCTCGTGATCCACCCACCTCGGCCTCCCAAAGTGCTGGGATTACAGGCATGAGCCACCACGCCCGGCATCTTCTATACAAATTCTTTTTTTTTTTTTTTTTTTTTTTTTTTTTTTGAGACGGAGTCTCGCTCTGTCGCCCAGGCGGGACTGCGGACTGCAGTGGCGCAATCTCGGCTCACTGCAAGCTCCGCTTCCCGGGTTCACGCCATTCTCCTGCCTCAGCCTCCCGAGTAGCTGGGACTACAGGCGCCCGCCACCGCGCCCGGCTAATTTTTTGTATTTTTAGTAGAGACGGGGTTTCACCTTGTTAGCCAGGATGGTCTCGATCTCCTGACCTCATGATCCACCCGCCTCGGCCTCCCAAAGTGCTGGGATTACAGGCGTGAGCCACCGCACCCGGCTACAAATTCTTTAGAAATGAACTATACTAGGGTGGGCGCATAGGCTCAGGCCTGTAATCCCAGCACTTTGGGAGGCTGAGGCAGGTGGATCACTTGAGTCCAGGAGTTCAAGACCAGCCTGTGCAACATGGCAAATTCCATCTCTACAAAAAAACAAAAACAAAAATTAACCAGACGTGGTGGCACATGCCTGCAGTCCCAGCTACTAGGCAGGCCAAGGTGGGAGAATCGCTTGAGCCTGGGAGGTGGAGGTTGCAGTGAGCCACAATCATGCCACTCCACTGCACTCCCGTCTGGGCTCTGGGTAACAGGATGAGACCCTATCTCAAAAAAAAAAAAAAAAAAAAAAAAAAAAAGAGAGAGCGAAAGAAAGAAAAAGAAAGGAAGGAAGGAAAAATAAATGAACTACACTAGAGAACTGGATTAGGGGCCAGGTGCGGTGGCTCCCACCTGTCATCCCAGCACTTTGGGAGGCCAAGGTGGGCAGATCACCTGAGGTCAGGAGTTCAAGACCAGCCTGGCCAACATGGTGAAACCCCGTCTCTACAAAAATACAAAAATTAGCTGGGCGTGGTGGCGTGTGCCTGTAATCCCAGCTACTCGGGAGGCTAAAGCAGGATAATCGCTTGAACCCGGGAGGCAGAGGTTGCAGTGAGCAGGAGGTTTCAGTGAGCCGAGATTGTGCCACTGCACTCCAGCCTGGGCGACAGAGTGAGACTGTCTCAACAACAACAAAAACAAGAACTGGATTAGGTTTCTTCAAATGCATGTAATAGAAATCTACTCTAGCTAACCTAATCCAACAGAAATTTTTTTGGAAAGAGATACAGGAGCTCACTGGACGCAAGAGAACACTGACAACACAGGATAGCTCAGGAATCAGCTAACTTTGGGGACCTTAGTAGCAGGAACTTCCCTACAGCTTTTCCTGAACACTTTGCTGAAATGAATGAAGACCAGTTCTGCATCCTCGTACCACCTTATTCACCACGTGAAATCCTAGGAGGAGTACACTTGTCCGTGATTAGGTCACACCCCTGGGCTAGGCTCAGGTAATAAGGCAACCGTCCAATGGGTTCACCTTGCCCGCTGCCTAGACAGAGCCGATTTATCATGATGGGGGAATTGCGATAGAGAAAGAGGAATTCACACAGAGCCGACTGTGTGGGAGGCCAGAGTTTTACTGTTACTCAAATCAGTCTCCCTGAGCATTCAGGGATTGGAATTTTTAAGAACAACTTGGTGGGTGGGGGAAAGCCAGTGAGCCGGGAGTGCTGATTGATCAGGTCAGAGATGAAAATATGGGAAGCTGAAGCTGTCCTCTTGTGCTGAGTCAGTTCCTGGGTGGGGGCCACAAGATCAGATGAGCCAGTTTATTGATCTGGGTGGCGCCAGCTGATCCATCAAGTGCAGGGTCGGCAAAACGTCTCAAGCACTGATCTTACGGGCAGTCCAGGGAGGGTCAGAATCCTGTAGCCTCCAGCTGCATGACTCCTAAACCGTAATTTCTTTCTTTTTTTTTTTTTTTTTTTTTGAGACAGTCTTGCTCGGTCGGCCAGGCTGGAGTGCAGTGGCGCGGTCTCGGCTCACTGAAACCTCCGCCTCCCGGGTTCACGCCATTTTCCTGCCTCAGCCTCCGGAGCAGCTGGGATTACAGGTGGGAGCCACCACACCCGGCTAATTTTTGTATCTTTAGTGGAGATGGGGTTTCACCACGTTGGTCAGGCTGGTCTCAAACTCCTGACCTCAGGTGACCTGCCCACCTCGGCCTCCCAAAGTGCTGGGATTACAGGCGTGAGCCACTGCGCCCGGACTCCTAAACCATAATTGGTAATCTCTTGGCTAGTTTGTTAGTACTACAAAGGCAGTCTAGTTCTCAGGCAAGAAGTAGGTTTGTTTTGGGAAAGGGCTATTACCGTCTTTGTTTTAAACTATAAACTCTAGGCCGGGTGTGATGGCTCACGCCTGTAACTATAAACAATAAACTAAGTTCCTCTCAAAGTTAGTTCAGCCTATGCTCAGGAAGGAACAAGCACAGCTTAAAGCTTAGAAGCAAGATGGAGTTGCTTAGGTTAGATCTCTTTCACTGTCTCAGTCATAATTTTGCAAAGGTGGCTTCAATAACAGGAAGAATATTAGGGAAGGAACTTATTTATTTATTTATTTTATTTTGAGACAGGGTCTCACCCTGTCACCCAGGCCGGAGTGCAGTGCTGCAATCATGGCTTTCTGCAGCCTCGACCTCCCGGGCTCAAACAGTCCTCCTACCTCAGCCTTTTGAGTGGCTGGGAGGTGGAGAGAGGAGGACTGCTTGAGCCCAGAAGTTCAAGACCAGCCTGGGTAACATAGTGAGACCCTGTCTCTACAAAAAATTTAAAACAATAGCTGGGCATAGTGGCACATGCCTGAGGTCCCAGCTACTCAGGAGACTGAGGTGGGAAGATCGCTTGAGCCTGGGAGGTTGAGGCTGCAGTGAGCCATGATGGCACCACTGTATTCCACCTGGGTGACAAAGTGAGACCCTGTCTCAAATCACACCAAACCAAGCACACAAAAAAACACAAAAACCTATCTCCGAAGTGGCACCACATCCAGATGGTTTTTTTTTTTTTTTTTTGAGACGGAGTCTTGCTCTGTCGCCCAGGCTGGAGTGCAGTGGCACGATCTCGGCTCACTGCAAGCTCTGCCTCCTGGGTTCATGCCATTCTCCTGCCTCAGCCTCCCAAGTAGCTGGGACTACAGGCGCCCGCCACCACGCCCAGCTAATTTTTTTGGTATTTTTTAGTAGAGATGGGGTTTCACCGTGTTAGCCAGGATGGTCTCGATCTCCTGACCTCATGATCCGCCCGCCTCAGCCTCCCAAAGTGCTGGGATTACAGGCGTGAGCCACCGTGCCCAGCCTCCAGATGGGTTTATAGGTGAACTCCACCAATCTATGTAGAACAGAAAATCCCTATCTATAACTGTTCCAGAGAATATAGTTTTCCAATTTATTTTACAAGGCTAGCATAAACTCTGATCATAAAACCAAACAAACAGAAAAACAGACAAAGATCCCCAAAAGAGATCTATAAGCCACTCCTATTTTCTAACTTAGAGGCAAAAGTCCTAAATAAAATATGAGCAGGCTGGACGCAGTGGCTCATGCCGGTAATCCCAGCACTTTGGGAGGTCGAAGCAGGCTGATCACCTGAGGTCGGAAGATCAAGACCAGCCTGATCAACATGGAGAAATCCAGTCTCCACTAAAAATACAAAATTAGTTGGGCGTGGTGGTGTATGCCTGTAATCCCAGCTACTTGGGAGGCTGAGGCAGGAGAATCACATGAACCCAGGAGGCGGAGGTCGCCATGAGCCGAGATCACTCCATTGAACTCCAGCCTGGGCAACAAGAGCGAAAAAAGAGATCAAGACCATCCTGGCCAACATGGTGAAATGCCCTCTCTACTAAAAATACGAAAATTAGCCCGGCGTGGTGGTGTGCACCTGTGATCCCAGCTGCTCGGGAGGCTGAGGCGGGAGGATCGCATGAGCAGGTTGCAGTGAGCGGAGATGGCGCCGCCGCGCTCCAGCCTGGGTGAGGGTCAAAAAGAAAAAAAAAAATCAACAGCCTCTGGGCTCGGGGTCCTTATTCAATTTCATGGCTTCTCTCCAGACAAACTCCCACCTCACTTTCTATACTACCTCGTCTTCCCCACATTTTCCAATACCTTTGCAGCGGGCAAATTATATAAATGGCAAATCTATGGATTAACTGCATCTGGCTTAAGTGTCTATCCCTTGTCCGGTCACCAGCTGGAAGCAGATAGGGGCAGGCTCAGGCGGCTGCATGGAGCTCCTACTGGGGAACAGTGCAGGGCCACATTCTCATCACAGAAGGGGCAGTGGACCAACAGGCAGGGCATGGTGTCTGACTTTCTGTAATAGACATTTAACCTGGTCTTCGGAAGTCAGAAAAGGCTTTCCAGAGGAAGGAATTCTGAGCTGGAACTTGCCAAATAAGTAAAAGTTAGGCAGAAGGGGATAAGGGTTGAAGAAAAAGTTCAGGCACAGGAGAGAATGATCAAGAGTAAGGGCAGAGTGGGAACAGATGGGGCTGGACAGGCAGGCAAAGGGGAGACCTTGCAGGACCCTGCAGGCCATGTTGGGAACTTTAGACTTTCTCCTGAGATCTATGAGGAGCCATTGGTGAATTTATTTATTTATTTAGAGACAGAATTTCGCTCTTTCGCCCAGGCTGGAGTGAGGGGGTGTGATCTCAGCTCACTGCAACCTATGCCCCCTGGGGCTCAAGCTGTTCTCCTGCCTCAGCCTCCCTAGTAGCTGGGATTACAGGTGCCGGCCACCACGTCTGGCTAATTTTTTGTATATTTAGTAGAGATGGGTTTTCACCATGTTGGCCAGGCTGGTCTCAAACCCCTGACCTCAGGTGATCCACCCGCCTCGGCCTCCCAAACTGCTAGGATTACAGGTGTGAGCCACTGTGCCTGGCCCATTGGTGGATTTCAAGCAGTGGAAGGATATGAGCAAATGTGCAGTTCTGAAAGACCACTCCAGTGGAGAATAAAGAGAAGAAAGGGAATTGGGAAGTTGGGAGACCAGCAAGGAGGCTGTTGCAGGGAAGCAGTAGCGAGAAGATGGTGCCCTGGGCAGGGCATGGTGGCTCACGCCTGTACTCCTAGCACTTTGGGAGGCCGAGGTGGGAGGATCGCTTGAGCCCAGGAGTTTGAGACCAGCCTAGGCAACAAACAAATGTTTTTCTGTCTCTAGAAAAAAATTTTTAAATCAGCCAGGTGTGGTGGTGCATGCCTGTAGTCCCAACTCCTTGGGAGGCTGAAGCAGGAGGATCCCTTGGGTCCAGGAGTTTGTCCTTGAGTGAGGCATGATTGCGCCACTGCACTCCAGCCTGGGAGACAGAGCAAAGGAGACCAGCCTGGACAACATGGTAAAACCCCGTCTCTACTAAAGATATGAAAAATTAGCCGGGCATGATGGCGGGTGCCTGTAATCCCAGCTACTCAGGAGGCTGAGGCAGGAGAATTGCTTGAACCCAGGAGGCAGAGGTGGCAGTGAGCCGAGATGGAGCCATTGCACTCCAGCCTGGGAGACAGGGCAAGACTCCATCTCAAAAAAAAAAAAAAAAAAAAAGAAGAAGAAGAAGAAAGGAGGAAGAGGAGGAAGAAGAAGAGGAGGAGGAGGATATGAACAAGAAACAACAACAACCTTGGACTAGGAATGCTGGCAGGATGGTGTGGATGGAGAGTAGATTTGAGAGAGACGGGAGATAAAATCACCAGGACTTGGTGATGGGGATGAAAGACGGGAGACGTTAGAGATGACTATTAGGGATTTTGTTTGTGTTGACTGAATGGTTAGGTAAATGAGTGGATGATGGTGCCACTCACCAGGCTGAGCAACACAGGAGGAGAAGCCATTTGGAGAGAGATGGTGAGTTCAGCTTTGAACATATTGTTTTGGTGTCTGTGGGACATCCAAGTAGAGATGTCCAGAAGGCAGCTGGACATATGTGCTTGTGTCTCAGGAGAAGGGTCTGGACTAGAGACATAGATTTGAGAGTCATTAGGTTGTAGGTGGTGGTTGAAGGCAAGGGAATGGATGAGGATAATCTCAGGTGGTTGCATAGCGTAAGAAAAGAAGAGAATGCCGGGCGCGGTGGCTCATGCCTCTAATCCCAGCACTTCGGGAAGCCAATGTGGGTGGATCACTTGAGATGAGGAGTTCGAGACCAGGCTGACCAACATGGTGAAACCCCGTCTCTACTAAAAATATAAAAATTAGCTGGGAATGAAGACAGCCTAAGCACAAACTCTGGGGGCAGTTTAATTGTTCAAGAAGGGGAATCTATGAAGGAGACTGAGAAGGCCCAACCAAACAGGTAAGAAGAAAACCAAGAAAATTACAGGGTCATGTGTCACAGAGGCCAAAAGGAGAATCCCAAGGGGCGAGTGGCCATGGGTATGCAGGCTGCCGAAATAAAGTAAGATCACAGTGGAGAAGTTTCCCATGGATGTAGAGGAGGGAGAGCATTAAAGACCTTGGTAAGAACCGAGTCAATGGAGTAGCAGGGGAAAGAAATCAGCATAGACTGGGGTGAGAAGGCAGAGAGAAAGGTGGGAGAGAATTAAAAGTAGGCAACTCTCAGAATGCAGCTGTGAAGAGGAAGAGAAGCGGGCATCTGGAGAGGTTTTTTTGTTTTTAAGATGGAGTTTTGCTCTTGTCACCCAGGCTGGAGTACAATGGCACGATCTCGGCTCACCGCAACCTCTTTCCACCTCCCGGTTTCAAGCGATTCTCCTGCCTCAGCCTCCCGAGTAGCTGGGATTACAGGCATGCGCCACCACGCCTGGCTAATGTATTTTTAGTAGAGACAGGGTTTCCCCGTGTTGGTCAGGCTGGTCTCGAACTCCTGACTTCAGGTGATCCGCCCGCCTCAGCCTCCCAAAGTTCTGGGATTACAGGCATGAGCCACGCGCCCGGCCCTGGAGAGGTTTTTAAAAGATGGCAGAAGGCTGTTTGGAGGAGTCCACCCCCATCTCCCCTGTGTAAAAGGAAAGCGGAAGAGAGAACCACAAAGAGGGCCTGGGGGAAAGCCGTGGAGTGAGGCGATAAGGGCTTGTGTCCAGGGGATTCCCGGTCACTGGAATCCCTATCAGGCCTGCATTTCCTCCTCACCCCCATCCCCTTCCTTGCCACTGGCTTAGTCCTCCATGGGGCTAGAAGAGAGAAGGACGGAGTCGAGTGGCACCCTAGAAGACGCTCTGTGCCTTCGGAGGTCTTTCTGCCTGCCTGTAAGCCGGGGTTGGTGCTGGGGCAGGAGAGGGGTCTGAGGGAGGGGAAAGAGCCAAGGACCTGGAGCTAGTAGTTTTAAGTTCTGCAGGCAAGGGTGGGAGATGGGAGTAGGGAGGACAGGAGGTGTGGATGCTGTTTCTGGAAGCGAAGCTGCAGGGGGAAGGGGGCTGGGGCCTGGGGGGATGCTTCCAGGGGATGCAGGGGGATCCACTCAAGGCTCCCTTGCCCACAGGTCCTCATGCCTCTCCTCCTCTTGCTGCTCCTGCTGCCAAGCCCCTTACACCCCCACCCCATCTGTGAGGTCTCCAAAGTGGCCAGCCACCTAGAAGTGAACTGTGACAAGAGGAATCTGACAGCGCTGCCTCCAGACCTGCCGAAAGACACAACCATCCTCCACCTGAGTGAGAACCTCCTGTACACCTTCTCCCTGGCAACCCTGATGCCTTACACTCGCCTCACTCAGCTGAACCTAGATAGGTGCGAGCTCACCAAGCTCCAGGTCGATGGGACGCTGCCAGTGCTGGGGACCCTGGATCTATCCCACAATCAGCTGCAAAGCCTGCCCTTGCTAGGGCAGACACTGCCTGCTCTCACCGTCCTGGACGTCTCCTTCAACCGGCTGACCTCGCTGCCTCTTGGTGCCCTGCGTGGTCTTGGCGAACTCCAAGAGCTCTACCTGAAAGGCAATGAGCTGAAGACCCTGCCCCCAGGGCTCCTGACGCCCACACCCAAGCTGGAGAAGCTCAGTCTGGCTAACAACAACTTGACTGAGCTCCCCGCTGGGCTCCTGAATGGGCTGGAGAATCTCGACACCCTTCTCCTCCAAGAGAACTCGCTGTATACAATACCAAAGGGCTTTTTTGGGTCCCACCTCCTGCCTTTTGCTTTTCTCCACGGGAACCCCTGGTTATGCAACTGTGAGATCCTCTATTTTCGTCGCTGGCTGCAGGACAATGCTGAAAATGTCTACGTATGGAAGCAAGGTGTGGACGTCAAGGCCATGACCTCTAACGTGGCCAGTGTGCAGTGTGACAATTCAGACAAGTTTCCCGTCTACAAATACCCAGGAAAGGGGTGCCCCACCCTTGGTGATGAAGGTGACACAGACCTATATGATTACTACCCAGAAGAGGACACTGAGGGCGATAAGGTGCGTGCCACAAGGACTGTGGTCAAGTTCCCCACCAAAGCCCATACAACCCCCTGGGGTCTATTCTACTCATGGTCCACTGCTTCTCTAGACAGCCAAATGCCCTCCTCCTTGCATCCAACACAAGAATCCACTAAGGAGCAGACCACATTCCCACCTAGATGGACCCCAAATTTCACACTTCACATGGAATCCATCACATTCTCCAAAACTCCAAAATCCACTACTGAACCAACCCCAAGCCCGACCACCTCAGAGCCCGTCCCGGAGCCCGCCCCAAACATGACCACCCTGGAGCCCACTCCAAGCCCGACCACCCCAGAGCCCACCTCAGAGCCCGCCCCCAGCCCGACCACCCCGGAGCCCACCTCAGAGCCCGCCCCCAGCCCGACCACCCCAGAGCCCACCTCAGAGCCCGCCCCCAGCCCGACCACCCCGGAGCCCACCCCAATCCCGACCATCGCCACAAGCCCGACCATCCTGGTGTCTGCCACAAGCCTGATCACTCCAAAAAGCACATTTTTAACTACCACAAAACCCGTATCACTCTTAGAATCCACCAAAAAAACCATCCCTGAACTTGATCAGCCACCAAAGCTCCGTGGGGTGCTCCAAGGGCATTTGGAGAGCTCCAGAAATGACCCTTTTCTCCACCCCGACTTTTGCTGCCTCCTCCCCCTGGGCTTCTATGTCTTGGGTCTCTTCTGGCTGCTCTTTGCCTCTGTGGTCCTCATCCTGCTGCTGAGCTGGGTTGGGCATGTGAAACCACAGGCCCTGGACTCTGGCCAAGGTGCTGCTCTGACCACAGCCACACAAACCACACACCTGGAGCTGCAGAGGGGACGGCAAGTGACAGTGCCCCGGGCCTGGCTGCTCTTCCTTCGAGGTTCGCTTCCCACTTTCCGCTCCAGCCTCTTCCTGTGGGTACGGCCTAATGGCCGTGTGGGGCCTCTAGTGGCAGGAAGGAGGCCCTCAGCTCTGAGTCAGGGTCGTGGTCAGGACCTGCTGAGCACAGTGAGCATTAGGTACTCTGGCCACAGCCTCTGAGGGTGGGAGGTTTGGGGACCTTGAGAGAAGAGCCTGTGGGCTCTCCTATTGGAATCTAGTTGGGGGTTGGAGGGGTAAGGAACACAGGGTGATAGGGAGGGGTCTTAGTTCCTTTTTCTGTATCAGAAGCCCTGTCTTCACAACACAGGCACACAATTTCAGTCCCAGCCAAAGCAGAAGGGGTAATGACATGGACTTGGCGGGGGGACAAGACAAAGCTCCCGATGCTGCATGGGGCGCTGCCAGATCTCACGGTGAACCATTTTGGCAGAATACAGCATGGTTCCCACATGCATCTATGCACAGAAGAAAATCTGGAAAGTGATTTATCAGGATGTGAGCACTCGTTGTGTCTGGATGTTACAAATATGGGTGGTTTTATTTTCTTTTTCCCTGTTTAGCATTTTCTAGTTTTCCACTATTATTGTATATTATCTGTATAATAAAAAATAATTTTAGGGTTGGGAGTGATGGCTCATGCCTGTAATCCTAGCACTTTGGGAGGCCGAGGCGGGTGGATCACCAGAGGTAGGGAGTTCGAGACCAGCCTGGCAAACATGGTGAAACCCTGTCTCTACTAAAAATACAAAAATTAGCCAGGCGTGGTGGTGCACACCTATAACCCCAGCTACTCGGGAGGGTGGGGCAGGAGAATCGCTTGAACCTGGGAGGCGGAAGTTGCCGTGAGCCAAGATCGTACCACTGAACTCCAGCCTGGGTAACAGAGTGAGACTCCGTCTAAAAAAAAAAAAAAAAAAAAAAAACTTCTGGCCGGGTGCAGGGGCTCATGCCTGTAATTCCAGCACTCTGGAAGGCTGAGGCGGGTGGGTTGCTTGAACCCAGGAGTTTGGCCCAGGCTTGGCAACATGGCAAAACCCGACCTCTACAAAAAATACAAAACATTAGCCAGGTGTGGTGGCATGCACCTGTGGTCCCAGGTACCTGGGTGGCTGAGGAGGGAGGATCACCTGAGCCTGGGAGATGGAGGCTGCAGTGAGCCCTGAAGGTGCCACTGTACTCCAGCCTGGGTGACAGAGTGAGAGCCTGTCTCAAAACAACTTGGCTTCTTTTGGTGAAGAGTGGCTGGGGCACCTGTCATGAGAATTCACAAGGCTCCAAATGCCCTACCCTGGTCACAACTACTTATCCAATAGACCTCCAGTTACAGCCTACACTTCCCCTGCCTGGGGTGCCTCCTCTCCTCCAGGGCTGGCCACCCACCAGGCCACCCCAGGCATCAGATCCAGCTCAAAAATTGCCTTCCTGGAGTTTAATGACAACTGCTGGGACCTACCTGGCAGCAGCCTGCAGTACTAGGGGCAAAGGTGGGTGCCTGCTTTGCACCTGCAGCCTCAGAAGTGCAGCTCTCCTCACTGCCCAGGTCAGCAGGACAGCAAGGGGTGGACCCTGCAGCATGCACCATCTTGGTGTGACTGAATAGTCTTGGGTTTCCTGCTCTCAGGCTGGGACACAGGCAAATGGAACCCCATTTCTTTTCTCATAAATCCTGCCATTCTCTAAACACACTGGTGTGGCTTCCTCTCCTGCCTTGTCTCCAGCCCAATCCAAGGCTTGGGGCCCAGAGAATGGGACTATGGAGACCCCCATCCCCCTCCAGATGGTCCTGAAGATCTCCCAAACCTGAAAGTCTGACCGAATCTCTCCCCAGGTGGAGGACCAACTCCTGAGCTTGGCAGTCAGGGAGTGCCAAGCACTGACCCCATCTGACAGTCCAGCTTCATCTCAAGGGAGATACCTCACAGTCTGTGCTCCAACTATCACAAGCCTATAGATCACCTGCTCCCCAACAGTGTTTTACTCTAAGCCTTTGCCCTCAGTCCAGCCAGGTGTGCTATCCTTGCCCCATCCCCAGCCAGTCTAACCACTCAGTCTGCAAGTCACTACTCCCAGGCGAGGCCAGGTGCTCCAAGTTACCCTGCAACACTATTGCTACACTCAGTTTCCCAACTGCTCCTGTATAATCTTGTCTTCTGGACCAGGAACTCCTTAAGGACAAGGTCTAGGCTTCAGGCATCTCACAATAGCCACCAAGGCGCAGGACAGTGTACACAGAGGCAGCAGCAGGGGCGCCAGGATGCTGAGCTCCACCTCTTCTGCTGATGAGGCTCTGCCAAAGGGACAGCTCCCACCTGCTGCCTGCCTGTCCCCTAGCCTGGCAAGCACTCCTCAGTTTGACCTTCCCAAACTCTCTTGTGCCCCAAGAGGTTTTAAGGCTCCTTGAAGGCTGGCCTGGGAACCACACATCTTCTAAAGAAATGGACAAGGTTCTCACTCTCCCCAGCCAAGGACCCAGATCAGGTCTCTGGCCAGCATTCCCCTTTCCTCAAGCTTCCAGTGCCCACCCACTTAAGCCCTGGCCTTCCACCTGCACTGCCTCCAGCCCACAGTGGTCTGACTTCCTCTCTAAGTCTCTTTATTTCCTCCCTCTTTAGGCTGCAGAAGCAGTCATCAGACCGAGGGGCTTTTCCTGGGGATTATGTGAGATGATCTGGGCATCGGTGGCATTCTTGGGCGAGTGGCTGGAGGAAACACACCGGGCCTGGGATTTGAGTTTTTCTGGCCCTGTCAGCTGCTGTGGCATGACAGATTTATACAGCATTTGCAAAAAACCAGCGGCTGCTTTTTCTTTAACAATTTTTCTTAAAAACTCCAGTTCCTATTCTCCAGCTTCTTTGTCCAGTCTCCTCCCCTCTCCTAGCCACCCCCCAGACTCTCCAGATTTGGGGCTGGTGTCATCAATCCAATTTATTAAGTCCTCAATGAGGGGGAGGAAGGGCCACATCTCCCTCTGCAGGCCCTTTGACCATCTTGATGGCTTCTGCTCCTCCCTGTCCCCTCAGCTCTGCCTTGGTTTCCCCACTGACAAAGGGGATCTTCTGCTGTCCTGTGTGCCCTGAAACTAAAACCCAGGGGGAGGCCAGAAATCCTCAGAAGTTTTCCAGCTCCCTGCAAGAATAGCCAAGGACAGAGAAATCACAGGATCAGGACGAGCAGGGCAAGCTGGAGCAGGGGGTAGAACAGACCAAGTCCTTTACCGCAGAGGAAGAAACCACACTGTGGAAGGGAAATAAATAGAGGGGTCCAGGGCAGCAGAGCCCAGGCCCCCAGGGCGCAGTGGCTATAGGCGCAGCAGGCGAGTGGGAGCCCCCGGCCGCTTCAGCCACTGAGGAAGAGACGCTTGTAGGCCTTGTTCATCTGCTCCAAGAAGATGAAGGTGAGGACGGTGTGGGGGCCCAGGCGGGCATAGTACGGCGTGAAGCCCTTCCACAGGCTGAAGAAGCCCTCGTAGCGGACAACTTTGAACAGCACGTCCTAGACACAGACAGGCAGGGCGCTGGGGCTAGGACTCTAGGTCCCCATCCCCCTCACCCAGCTGCCTTCACACCTTTCCCAGGGGATCCGACACCCCCTCCCAGGCCCCCAGAATGGCTTCCTCACCAGCCCGTTCTTGTATTCCGGCTTCCCATCAATCATCCGCATGTTCTGGATTCTGCAGGAGAGGACGCAGGGGCATGAGAGACCGAAAGGGCACCCTCCCACCCACCTCCAGGCCCAGGCTGCACACTCACCGGGTCTTGGCAATGTCCACAGGCATGGAGGCAGCAGTGGTGACAAGACCGCTGATCATGCTGGCACAGAAGTGGCACAAGATGTTGTCAGAGAAGTAGCCTGGGGGAGGTGAGGCGGGGGTGGCAGTCAGCTCAGAGGTGGCTCAGGCCAGGCTGGGAACTAAGGGCCCAGCTCTGGATCTCACCTGAGTCCAGTAAGAACTGCTTGGATTGGGAGTAGGAGGCGAGCTGGGCAGCATTGACGACGACGGCCCGAGCCATGGTAGGGATGCAGCCCTGGAGGGAGGGGAGCGGGGAAGAGTCAGAAACCCCTAAAACCAGACCTCACAGCCCCCAAGTCTCCAGCCCCTCCACTCACCCGCCACAGTGTGAGGACACCCTCTTCCCGGGTGATTCGAATCAGGGCGTTAAACACATTTTTGTAGCCACGGCGCTGGTCAGCTGGAAGCCTGGTGGGAAGGCAGAAAGAGGTCAAGATCAGGATTGCCCACAGGTGCAAAGAAAGGAAGGCCAGAACAGGTAAACACTCTGCTCCAGATCCGGGATAAAAAACTGGTCCTTTCATTCTAGATTCGAGGGAATGGGGCTGGGGTTAGGTTCAGACTTGGAACTCACCGGCCATCGGCAGTCATGCGGATAAGAGCCACTTCGGCTGGTGTTCCCACAAAGGCACCAGTGGCACCTGCGGTCATGCCAATCACAGCCTTCAGCAGAAAGCCAGGGGGAGTACCATCAGCCCCAGTCAGGCGCTCAAACAGCACGGTATAGATGCCAAGGCGGGTAGTGGTGTAGGTGGCCTGACGCAGCAGGCCAGCCGACAGCCTGAGGAGCAGAGGGGTCAGCATATCAGGCCAAGGTCTAGAGCTGCCAACCCACAGTCTACCCTCCATCCTGAGGCCCCAATACCCAGTGTAAATGCCCCTCAGGCCTTCTGCCTTCAGGATACTGGTGAGGGCATGGAAGCTGGTTTTGTACTCTCGAGTCTTGGCCCCTTCCCCGCTCAACTGCATCCGGTTCTTCACCAGGTCCAGGGGCTGGACAAAAACTGTAGCTCCCATCCTGGGGGAAGACAGAGGTGGAGTGAAGGGCCAGGCATTCCAGATCTACCAGTGCCCACTGGAGCCTGGCAGCAAGAGGTTACAAAGGTCAGGGCCTGCCATGCGATTCAAGAATCAGGATGCTGGTGAGCATGTGTATAAGAGTCTATATGTACACCAAGTGCAACGGGTCTGAAAAGTCTAGTTGTCCAGTAGGGGCCATGCAATGAAAGTGCTCCAAGCAGCTTCATGACAGTCAAGCAGTGACCTGGGGCTGCACGCAGTCCGACACAGGGAGGGGAGGAAGGGGCATCCAAGATTTAGGACTCCAGGTAGTCCTGCAGGAGCCATTTAATGGCCTGGAACCCCCTGCCGCCCGGCCGAGCTTAGCAATGCGCTGGGAAACTCAGCTGGCCCGGCGGGGGTTGTGCAACGACCCTGCATGCAGTCCATAAGGGTCCTGCAATGGGGCCCTAGCAGCCCATCGGGGAACTCGCAATACGCTGGAGATCGCGCTGACCCCGTGCCGGCACAGTTCACTGCAACAGACCCAGAGATGAACCGGGCCCGGTTCCTTTTGCCCTTCCCTTCCTCCTCTTTTCCCATCCCTGGGGCCTGAGCTTACCCGGCCAGGCCCCCAAACAGGAACTTGACGGACTTAGGGGAGGTACGGGGCTTCCCGTCTATCCCGCCGGCCCCGGCACTCGCCGTCGCCGCCATCGCCACTCAATGGCCCTCGGCTCCGGGTCCCGTGCGCGCGCGGCCCCGCTCGCGCCCAAGGTGACACCGCGCGCGCAACAGAGCGAGGGCGCGCGCACGCCCCTCCAGCTCTCAGGTCCGACACCCGCTGGAAGCCGGCGCGGGCGCAGGCGCGCAGCGCAAAGGCGGCCGGGAGTAAGGCGGAGCTGAAGGAGGAGCTTGATGGAAGCGTGCGAGAAGGGGCGTAACTGATTTGGAAACCAGAGGAAAGGCGCTGTTTTCACCGAATTAGAATCGCGGGAAAATAGAGAAGAGTTTGTTTGAAGGTCTCGCGAGATCGAGTGAGTACGGCTCGCCAAGTTGGAGCGCTCTCGCGATAGACACAGCAACTATTCAGCTGCGAGGGGACGGGAGAGGTGGTGAGCACTCTCGCGAGATTTGAAGGAGCGGCGGAGGCCAGAGGGAGGAGAGGTTTGTAAACTAGGAGGCTCCGGGTTTCCGGGCACTTTTATTAGGTCGTCTTCTGGGCCACCAGTGCCCCTTCCATCTCCACAGGCAGTCCCTCCATCGCTAACCTTTTTTTAACCGGCCTTTTAGGACCGGAAGTCCTTCATCTCAAGCATCCAATGCTGAAAGCGGCCTGATTTTCTCTACCGGAAGCCCTTTTCCAGAGGCTGGGAACACGGCCCACCTAGCAGGAAGTCCCACCTCCTTGAGCTCCGCCACCCTTCCCGAAGTTTTTCTGTCACCTGTGTTAGGCTCCGTCCCCTTTCCGCGTTTTATCCCCGTACCAGAAAAGGATACATTTAGTGCCTCCCACCCAGCTCCACTAAACGGGTTGGATATCTCATTCTTTGAGTTGGTGTTCCTTCCCCGGCGCCCCCATGTAGCTGGGAAGTGGGACCTGGGGGTGGTTGGACCCCTGGGATCCTAAAGGAGGGGCAGGGAGGGCGCAGAACTCCGCTTCTGCTCCTTGCTACCAGGACGCGCGGCCTCCTCAGCCTCTTTCCTCCCGCTGCCATGCACCCTGCAGCCTTCCCGCTTCCTGTGGTTGTGGCCGCTGTGCTGTGGGGAGCGGCCCCGACCCGGGGGCTCATTCGAGCGGTGAGTCTGAGGGACGGATGGGGAAAGGGCGCTGAAAGGAAGGGTTGCAGGCTGAAGGGGAACATCGCCTTTTTTGTCCGCAGACCTCGGACCACAATGCCAGCATGGACTTTGCAGACCTTCCAGCTCTGTTTGGGGCTACCTTGAGCCAGGAGGGCCTCCAGGTGATTTTCTTTCTTTTCTTTTCCTCCTTCCCTCCCTTCCTTCCTTTTCTGTCTTTTTTCTTTTTTTAGTATTTCGCAAGATCCTCCATCCTAGGCTGGGGTTGGGGAGGTTTGTCCTGGGTGAAACTGGAGGTAGGAAAATGAAGTTAGGAACTGAGCACGTCTAGTGTAGAACCCAGAATCTAGAGGGAGAAGACAGAGTGTCCACCCCTGGAACTCCGAGGTTATCAGGGAGACTGAAAGTGGACGAAGACAGAAGGCAGGATCAACGGTCCTTATCAGGAAGGTCTCAGGTGCTAGTTATTGCTTATATGACTTTGGGCAAGTTAATCTCTCTGAGCCTTAGTTTGTTTTACTGTAAAATGGGATATTAGAAGTTTTCCTAGGGTTATTGTGAAGATCAAAGTAGATACGCAATTTTGGTAGTATTTCATCCCAAAGACTGCCACATAGCAAGAACTCAGTTGGGCCTTAGTAGCAGTCGAGTTGTTTGTGAGATGGGTAATTAGAAAATTGAAGAGGCCGGGCGCGGTGGCTCACATCTGTAATCCCAGTTCAAGACCAGCCTGGCCAACATGGAGAAACCCTATCTCTACTAAAATGGCAAAAATTAGCTGGGCGTGATGGTGCACGCATGTAGTCCCAACTACTTGGGAGGCTGAGGCAGGAGAATCACTTGAAACCGGAAGGTGGAGGTTGCAGTGAGCCGAGATCGCGCCACTGCACTCCAGCCTGGGTGACAAAACGAGACTCCATCTCAAAAAAAAGAAAAACAAAAAGAAAACTGAAGGGAGGGGAGTGTGTCTGTATGAGTATGTGCTGGAGAGGGGACTGTGAAACAGAACTTGAGAGAAAGTGACATGGGTGGTTTGAGAATTGAATTACAATTGGAATATTAGAAGGCAAAAATAATTGCATTAGCTTGCAGTATAGGGTACAGATTAGCCCATCTGGGACAGCGAGAGGGATGATGGGAGAGTTTGGTGAAGGGATGTTTTATGTCATTGCCTTTTCAAGAGGCTAAGAGAAGGTTGTGATGGTGGGATGCTCACTCAGACCCCAGGAAGGAGGAGGAAGTGAGGATAGAGGATGTGCAGCATGTGGGCTGGTGTGTTTGGTGGCCCCTGTAGAGAGCAGAATCTAGAAAGGAGAAATCTCACTGTTGTTTGCTTCCATCCTTCAGGGGTTCCTTGTGGAGGCTCACCCAGACAATGCCTGCAGCCCCATTGCCCCACCACCCCCAGCCCCGGTCAATGGGTCAGTCTTTATTGCGCTGCTTCGAAGATTCGACTGCAACTTTGACCTCAAGGTTGCTGAATGAGGAAGGGGAGCTGGGCAGCTGAGGGTAAAAAAAAGGCACCAGGAATGAAGACAGGTAAGGCCCATGATGGCTCCTTGTCCTCTGCCTTGTCTCCCTAGGTCCTAAATGCCCAGAAGGCTGGATATGGTGCCGCTGTAGTACACAATGTGAATTCCAATGAACTTCTGAACATGGTGTGGAATAGTGGTAAGGCTGGGGGAATCTATACAGCTGGGCTTTCAGTAGGACCCAGAGATGGTGGGAAGGCTGAAGGCCTCAGGAAAAGAAGCCAATCCTTTAGGTGGGGTGGGGCCAAAGTGCAAGATGCCAGGGTTCCCAGAGGATTTGAGTAGAAGGTTGTGAGTCCCCAGAGTAACACCTTGATCCCTGCAGAGGAAATCCAGCAGCAGATCTGGATCCCGTCTGTATTTATTGGGGAGAGAAGCTCCGAGTACCTGCGTGCCCTCTTTGTCTACGAGAAGGGGTAGGACATGTGCCTCCTTCCCATTCTTCCTTCAGCAAGCAGTTCCATGCCAACCTGGAGCCCAGGCCTCCTCATTACCCGAACCATTCAGCCTCCTGTCCTTCCTTCCCTGCCTCTTTGACTTTCTTCCCATTCCTGTCCCCACCTATGGGCTTTGTCCAGAGCCAGTTACTTTGTCCCTCTTTTTTTCTCCCTTTGCCTTTCTCGCCCTGCTGAGACTGGTCATCCTTTTCCCAGGGCTCGGGTGCTTCTGGTTCCAGACAATACCTTCCCCTTGGGCTATTACCTCATCCCTTTCACAGGGATTGTGGGACTGCTGGTTTTGGCCATGGGAGCAGTAATGGTGAGTAGCTGAGGGAACATGATGGGAAGCACTGAGGCCTGTGAGGCCAGACTGGATCTGGAGTTGGGAGATGGGAGTGGCTTGTCCTAGATTGTCTAGTTTTGTTCCTAAGCCTTGTCCATCCACCCCCGCTTCCCCCAGATAGCTCGTTGTATCCAGCACCGGAAACGGCTCCAGCGGAATCGACTTACCAAAGAGCAACTGAAACAGATTCCTACACATGACTATCAGAAGGGTGAGGGGGTTAGGGGAGAAGAGGGCTTTTCCCACAGTTTACCTGGTTCTGAAGGACTTTGAGCCCAGAAGATAGGGTATACAAAGATGGCAGTGGCCGGGCACAGTGGCTCACGTAATCCCAAGTGCCTCTAATCCCAGTACTTTGGGAGGCCAAGGTGGGCAGGTCACTTGAGCCCAGGAGTTTGAGACCAGCCTGGGTGACATGATAAAACAGAAAAGTCCCAGCACTTTAGGAGGCTGAGGCAAGTGGATCCCTTGACCCCGGGAGTTCAGGCCAGCCTGGGCAATGTGGTGAGACCCCATCTCTATAAAAAAATAAAATTAGCTGGGCATGGTGGTGTGCACTTGTAGTCCCAGCTAATTGGGAGACTGAGACAGGAGAATCACTTGAACCAGGAAGGCGGAGGTTGTCGGGGGCTGAGATTGCACCACTGTGCTCCAGCCTGGGCGACAGAGGGAGTCCCTTTCTCAAAAAAATAATAATAAAAATAAAGATGGCAGTAGGAAGGTTTCAGCTTGAGATGCTGTCTTTTCTTCTGTTTTTATGCATAAATACAACGAAGACGGGAGAGGAGATGGAAAGCAAAGATGATTAAGTGAAATAATTGTGGGAAACAATAGAGGGATAGACTTTGCTTATAGGGGATGTGGACAGAGCAGAAAAATGGGAGGAATGGGGAGGATTCAGTTAGAGAAGGAAGAAACCGGTACCAAGGGGCTGGGGCTTTAGGCCCTGGGGCCTCCAGTGCCCGTATAAGGCTGTGGCAGAAGCCCTGCCCATTTCCGTTCCTTCCACTCCCTATCTCCACCCTCACACCTCCCCAAAAACCCACTTCCCTTCTTACCTCTGCTTCTCTTTGCTTGTCCCTTCTAGCCCTAAATTCTTCCATGTTCTGCCCTGACCTTATCCTGCCTACCTGTCTTATCTCTTCCACTGGCTTTGTAGGTGAGGGGAAATTTTTGCAAGGCTTTAAAAGCCTTAGCCCTGGGTCATTGTGGCTCAGTGAAGGACTAGATTATTTTCTTTCTGTCCCAGGAGACCAGTATGATGTCTGTGCCATTTGCCTGGATGAATATGAGGATGGGGACAAGCTGCGGGTACTCCCCTGTGCTCATGGTGAGGCCCTCACTGCCTGCCCATGCCCCTCTGCCACCAGCAGCCACCAGGTGCTTCACCTTGTTCCTCTCTGCAGCCTACCACAGCCGCTGCGTGGACCCCTGGCTCACTCAGACCCGGAAGACCTGCCCCATTTGCAAGCAGCCTGTTCATCGGGGTCCTGGGGACGAAGACCAAGAGGAAGAAACTCAAGGGCAAGAGGAGGGTGATGAAGGGGAGCCAAGGGACCACCCTGCCTCAGAAAGGACCCCACTTTTGGGTTCTAGCCCCACTCTTCCCACCTCCTTTGGTTCCTTAGCCCCAGCTCCCCTTGTTTTTCCTGGGCCTTCAACAGATCCCCCACTGTCCCCTCCCTCTTCCCCTGTTATCCTGGTCTAATAACCCCCCACACATACACCTCTGGTGACCTATTTGCACAGACCGTCGTCTTCCCTCCAGTCTTCTGAGGGATAGGGGACATTCCATCCCAAGCTTCTCCCTTACCCACACCTATCCTTTTGAGGGGCTTTGGGGTGGAGCTGGGGCAAGCAGAGGGACTGGGTCTTCACTTCTTGGGCTAATAAAATTGTTTCTTTGTGGACTAAGGAAGGGTAAGATCATTCTCACACAGGTGAACTTAACCCTTTGGTGGAATCACCCCTTTAGCCATAAGGAGCAAGGGAATGCTGAGAGACACTAACCTATAGTCATGGGGACAGCCCCAGCCGGCATTTGCTATGACTCAGAAGGGGGAGCCCCACCCACAAGGATGACTCAACTAGCCCTGCCTTGCCTGCAGGCCTGCACCCATTCTCTGGTCCAGATGGCTCTATTCCATCATCCACCAATTTGACCAGCACACTGAGGACTTAGGCCTGGAAATGCCACTGTGGAGGGGCAGGGCCACCTGGCCAGAAGCTCAAATTCCTGCACCTTGTAGTACCTCAACCTCCCTGCTCCCAAGCCACGATAAAGGAGGCAAGTCACAGTGCCTATCCCCCATTCTGACACCCAAGCTCAAATCACACAGCACCTTGTTAGTAGAATCTTTTTTATTCAGAAAAAAAAAACCCCAAAAAACAAAAGTTTTCCAACCACACACGGGAGGGATATGGGTAGGGGGAGGTGTCTGTCCATCCAGCCCTGGCCCCCAGCCCATGTGGTTTTGGCAGCAATAAGGGGTATGGGGTAATGGCCCAAAAAATAAAATGGTTTGTGTGTGTATGGGGAGGAAAGGGGTGCAAAGCTGTGGGGAGCGGTGAAGGGGAAGGGACAGACGAGGTCAGTACTGGGAACGCCGAAGGTGGGAGGCCATTTCATAACATTTCTTGTTGATCAAACCACCGTGGACACCTTCTTTGCCCATCAGCAGGACTAGCGCTGGAGGAGGAGGAAAGAGAAAGGAGGCTAGGATCCAGGTGTCACAATTCCACCCCCTGCCAGCTGTTCAGCAGCTGTCCAGCCCTGGGGGCTGTAACCCAACCTCATCTCTCCCAACCCGCCCCCCCACCACACACAGGCAGGCTGTCAGTCACCCTGAAACAATAAGGCTTTTCAAAAGAGGAAAATCAAGCTTAAACGCTGGAGAGGAACAGACTAAAAACTTAGGGGTCAAAGGCTCATAGACTGTTGATTCATGTGTTCAGGCTAGAAAGGGCTGTGGATGTGCATGCCACCTCCAGGTTCTAACAAAAGAACTCAAACGATGAACTCGATGATTCAAGACCCCAACAATCTACCTATACTCCTAGAAAACAGTTTCTAATCCGAGCTCAAGGCAGTAAGTAATTTAAGAGGTAATGCAGTTCAGCAACTTCGAATTACAAGATGAGGAACTGAGACAGAATGGAGGGACTATCCCGTGTTCCAGCATCCAGCAGACAAGGAACACAATACTGGTCTGACTCCCTTCATGTTGGGGAATCACACAAAAAAGCACCCTCAAGATTACCAGAAGGCGGTACATTAGAGATCTTGGAGCTAAAGGAAGGGTAAGACTCAGGAACTCACTCTTGTCAGTCTTGGTGACAGTGACATTGAAGGTGGGGGCCCCACCGGTGCTCTTGGTACGAAGATCCATGCTAAATTCCCCATCCTGCAGCAGTGAGTCCCGGATCACCGAACATTTCTGGCCCCCAAGTGTCAGCCCATTCACGTAAAAACTTGACCGGTCTTTGCCAACCAGGACACCCACCTCAGCTGGCTGGAAGAGGAACCAAGCGCCCATCAAGTTAGTCAGTGCACCAAGATTCCCACCGTGTTCTCCAAAGACCCACCTGTCTTCCACTTCTGAGAACCACCCCGCCGTGGGGGCTAAGTATAAATTATATACTCAGTACACATCAATGAACTGTGAGAAACTCTGAGGACTGTGGGACGTTAGTGCAGAAAAAGATCATGATTCTGAAACTTAGAATATGGAACCAGGGAGGAAGGGATGACATACTCCTCTAGAGATTTAGATGTCAGTGTTAATGGGGAAAGTAAACCCAGGAAATAAAGGGAGTCAGTGAGGTAAGTGAGGAGCCTTTGGATGCTCAGAACTCTCCTTCAGGAAAAGCAGAAGCGGAGAGGGGAAGGGAGGGGGGCGGGCGAGGCAAGAGAAGCAACTTTGCCCTTATTTGGTCAAAGGTTCTGCAGGAGCTGTTAGGGCCCGGACGCCTGGGTCTCCAAGTAACCTAGAGTTTAGCTCCAGGTATCTCTGCTCTGAGATGAGGAAGCAGACCCCTGGGGGCTTTCCGGGAAAGTTGGAAAACTTTTGAAGGTGGACAGGGGCCAGACCCGGCAGGCCAGCTCTCGGGTCTAGGTACCCCGGGAACCTTTCCCCCCTCCCCCTTTCACCCCAAGCCCCCACATCCGGTCCCCTCCCGCCCGGAAACCCCCTTCCCCCCCCTTTTGAACTTCCGCTCCCCCTCCCCACTTCCGGGCAGTGTGGACAGGGAGATGGTGGTGGGAGCAGCGGTAGTAAACCAATATACTTTCGCTTATGCTGTCTCAGAACTTCTCACAAAGTTCCCCTGCTCCAGGCCCCGCCGGATGGCGGGAAGGGAGGGCGAGGGGACTTCCGGGATTGGCCTCGCAGGAATGTTGAATCCAACGTGCTGAGCTGGGGGGGCGTGTGGTGGCCTCGCCCTCTCTAACGGAGTTAGGAGGGGCCAGAAGCCCACAGAGGGTGGGCAAGGGACCAAGACCACGCGCCTGGGGCTCCCTTCCGCACCAGGAGAAACAATGGTAGAGGGACGCGGGCTGGCAGCCGGACGGGGAGCTGGGGGTCCAAGGATCCCCGGGTCCCCTCTCAATCCCAATCCCCAGTAAAAACTGAGGCGCGTCCCCGCCCCGCCCTGGGAGAGGCGGAAGTGGGCCGCCGCACCGGGCGCCGCGCCCCTCCCCGCCCTGTGCCCCGGATGTAACGCCCCGTCGCGGAAAGCGGGGTAGCGGGCGGGATGGGCGCCGCCGCCTGGGGCATAGGACCTACGGGCAACTGAGGGACCCACTCACGTGCAGCCGCCATTCGCGCCGCTTCCAGGGCAAGCACCCAGTCAGGGCCTCTCGCTGCGCGCCCTAGACCGCGCCCGCCCCCACCCAAGTCCCTCCCTCAGGGTCCAAACCGGAGCAGTGCCCCGGACCGCGCAGGCCTCGCAGTACCGTGATGTTGACGAACGTTTTCCCGGGGACGGCGGCCCAGACGGAGGGCGAGTCCTTGTAGCCCACGATGGCCGCGTCCTGACAGGTCCCGTCCGCCATGAGGTTGTCGATGTAGGCGTTCCACCCGGCCATGGCGCTGCTACTGGGGCTGCTCTCGGCGCTGCTGCTGGGGCCGCGGACTGGGCTCGAGCTGCCTCGGCTGGCGGGCGGGGGGAGGCGGAGAGCTCGGGGCACGCGCTGCCGTCCGGACCGCGGCTCCGCTCGCTGTGCAGCAGCCCTCGCACCGCCACTTCCTGCTCCTCCCCCCCCCCGCCCCGCTAGATTTTTATTTGCAAAGGACGGTAGGGGCGGGGCCTACTCCCCATTCCCTCCCTCCCCCACTCGCCAGCCCAGACACCGAACTTTGCAAATGCAATTTTAAAAATCCCTCCCCCTATTGCAAAATTTGCAGAGTTCGATGGAAAGCAATGCAGAAGGATGGGGGGTGGCGGGAGAGAGGTGAAGGGTAGGGTTTGCTCCAATTTGCACTGAATATAAACCAGACTTTGGTATCGGGGCAGGGAGTGAGCCAGAAGAAGGAAGGAAGGAGAAAGCAGGAGGAATTAGCAAGCTGCAAATTTAGCAAATTAAGGAGAGTTCGGGGAGCCCAGGGTTAAACGGGATGACTCCTCCTTCCCCCACCTCCGCCGAAGGGAAGGACCGGCGGGCGGCGGCGCGTGTGCCCGCGCCTGCGCCTGCGCCGGGGCCGGGAGTGCATGGGGCGGTCGGGGCCGGAGCCGGCTGCACGGGAGCGCGCCCGGCCCGACCCGTGTGGACCCTGCGGGAAAGGAAGGCGGGCTGGGGACGTGTCTCCCGCCTGGCGGAAGGGGCGGGGGCGAAGCCGTGCGCGCTGCCGCCTCACCACCCTTGATTTTACTTATTCAAGTAATAAGAAAGCAAAGAAGAGTTTGGCCAAATCCTCTAGTCGCTCTCATAGCTGAAGGCACCCACCGGGGCCACTTCTGTCCCCAGCGTCTTCTCGGGTCGTGCAGGTTGGGTTCACCAGGGCCCATTCTCAGTCTAGAGGATTGTCCCTTCTCTGGATCGGCTCTAGCCCAGGGCCTCACCCCACATCCCAGCCCCGCCCGCCCCAGGCAGGCAATGTCTGGATCACCGGCCGTGCCCCTTGGCCTGTGTCTGCAGAGGTCACAGAGCGCGGACACCCGCGGGGCTTAACAGGCGGGGCTATTTTTCGAGGCGGAAGAATACTCAAGTTGCAAGAGTGGCAACTTTTTCAAGAAGGGGAAAGTCCCACTTCGGGCCCTTTGGGTTTCTTCGCAGTCAGATGTGCGCTCACAGCCACCTGGGGAGGGCGGGACGGGCGGGACGGCCGTGCGGCGGCCGCGGTGAAACCGCCTCCTCCGACCCGCCGCCGAGGGCTGGGCGGCTTCCGGAGCCTGGGCTAGGGGCAAGGGGTCACCGAGCGCGGCCCGGGCGGAAAGGGGGTTGGTTTTCTCTCTCCTCCCGAGCGCGGCGCGCATCCCTGGCGTCCACGCCGAATCCCACAGTCCCCGACGCCCCTCGAGTCCGTGTTCCTCGACAGCCGCGCGGCTGAGTCACTGGCGGGCTCGGGCGGGGCCGCACCCGGGCACGTGGCGGCGCTCCCCGCCCGCCATCTCCTGACCCCTGGCCCACCGCACCCCTACCCCAGGGTGGAAAAATCCCGGGAGGAGCGGCCTGAGATGAGGGGGCGGGGCGAGAGGGGAGACTGGACGGGTGGCGGGGCAGGTGGCCTGGGGTGGGGGCTGGGAGGCCGCGCGGGCCGGCGGGGCGGGGAGCAGGGGTGGGGAGAGGGCGGCGGGGGTGAGTCACCGGGCGCGCGCTGCCCCGGCGCCGACGGGAAGGGCCTCCGAGTCGGGCCGAGGCGCCGTGTGTCCCCCGCCGGTCGGCTGGTATGGCTGCAGAGGAGCTCGGGGCAGACCCCGCACTGGCCCCAGAGCCGGCAAAGTGGAGATCTCTACCGAGGGCAGAGACCTACCTCCCCGCAGTGCTACAAGTGGGGCGCCGGAAGAGCCCCAGGCGTGCAGAAGCTCACAAAAGGCCACCCGTCCTCGGTCCATTCATTTTTGTTCACTGTTGATTCAGCCCCATTCATTGATGGGCTGGGGCCGTGCGCTGAGCGCCCACAGTCGATGGGGAAAGGGGCTCTGACCGACAGTCCCCACGCCGGGCGACAAGTGCTGTCCCAGCGTTATCAGTCGGGCGCCTTGCCAGCCGAAAGGGCCTGTCTAAATTCGTTTCCTGTCCCCTAACTCATCCCGGCGCTGGCTGGCCTGGAGAGGGTAGGATGGGGCGGCGCCGAGAATGGCCGTTATGAGGACCCTAAGAGGTGAGACCCTCTCGCCTTCTGGGGTGGGGGGTCCCGTCCTTTCCCCCACTGAGGACAGAGGCCCGCCCAGCGATCTGAGCATGTGTGGACGTCAATCTTGCAGCCCCTCTTCCAGGCCCCCTCCCCAGCCTTGCAGGGCTCAGGTTACCCCTGGCCTTTCCTAAAGGTCACTCATTCCTCTTGACGTTTGCAAAAGGGGAATGTAATCCTGGGGTGGGGGGAGACCCCTCATCTGTAGCCCCTCCCTTGCTCCTCCCAAAGGGTGGAATTAGAACAGGGACTGTTATTGGGAGACAGAAAGTGGGGGATAGTAGTTGACCTTTGGTAAGGGGGCAGGTGCCCAGGGCCAGAGGCTTCTGCTTCAGGCTGTAGTGGGCACTTGGCTGCCAGCCCAGTGTGAAGGGGGGAGGATGGAGAGAAAGAGAGGCGGGGCTGGCTGGGGACCGAGTGGCTCAGGGATAAATGCGCAGCCTGAGAGGGGGTGAGCTGACACTGTCCCAGCTGCCACCTAGACTCGGAGCTCCATCCAAACCTCCAGCGAAGACATCCCAGGTCGGGTGAATCTTCCAGCCCTGGGGGTGGAGGTAGTAAAGGGTGAGCATGGTATTGGCTTGGAGGAAGTGGGGGACATTTCTGCTTTTTTTCCTCCTGGGACTGGAGATGCTTGAAAAAGCTGGGGGAAGGGGCGGCTGGAGCAAGCAGATGGGACAAACTCTGGGAACACCGAAGGATCTAGGGAAAGGAGGCTGTGAGGAGGGCAGCAGGGATGGATAGAAAAGGGCAGCTAGAGCTGGAACCTGATAGGGAATTGGGGGCCCAAGGAGATTTCGGAGCAGGAAAATGAGAACCAGAAAGGATTTGAAGGCCACCAGCCATGGAGAACAGACTGCTTGACCAGAGGGGTGGAAGGAGAAGGCCTAAGTGGAGGCTTGGGGGAGGTGGGGGCTTGGTGAGCGGTGGCATCCCAGGAGCTATAGATAAGAGGCCCCTGGATTCTTAGGATGGGAGGGTGGAATAAGAGCTGTTCTGAGTGGGGGAGGGGGCTGCGCCTGCCTCTTTGGTCTGTGACCTTTTTGTAGGGTATTTTTAGCTCCAGCACCTGCCTTCTTGGAGTGGGGAAGAATCTTAAAGGGCAAGGGATTTCTGGTTCCTTAAGAGATCAACTGTCTACACTCACTCACACCTCCTGTCCTGCAGCCATGGCCATGCAGAAAATCTTTGCCCGGGAAATCTTGGACTCCAGGGGCAACCCCACGGTGGAGGTGGACCTGCACACGGCCAAGGGTAACACAAGGCCCATTGGATAGGCTCGCCTCCGAAGACCCCAACCCTTTGGCCTTTGCCCCCCAGTTCTGTGCCATATCCTCTCCTTTCTCTCGGGTTCCCTTTCCCAGACTTCTTCCCAAGCCCCCTTCTTCCAACGTGGAACCAGAGCTGGAAGCTAGGAGAAGCAGGAGTCTCTCTCTGCACTGCCTCCTGTCCCTGAGCTCAGAGAGGACACCTCAGCCCTTTGAGAGGTAGAGAGACTCCCTGTGAGGTCCTTTTTTTTGTTTTGTTTTGTTTTGAGATGGAGTCTCGCTCTGTGGCCCGGGCTGGAGTGCAGTGGTGCAATCTCAGCTCACTGCAACCTCTGCCTCCCGGGTTTAAGTGATTCTTGTGCCTCAGCCTCCCAAGTAGCTGGGATTACAGGCCTGTGCCATCACGCCCAGCTAATTTTTTTTTTTTTTTTTTGAGATGGAGTCTCACTCTGTCGCCCAGGCTGGAGTGCAGTGGCGCGATCTAGGCTCACTGCAAGCTCCGCCTCCCGGGTTCACGCCATTCTCCTGCCTCAGCCTCCCGAGTAGCTGGGACTACAGCTAATTTTTTGTATTTTTAGTAGAGATGGGGTTTCACGGTGTCAGCCAGGATTGTCTCGATCTCCTGATCTCGTGATCCGCCCGCCTTGGCCTCCCAAAGTGCTGGGATTACAGGCGTGAGCCACCGCGCCCGGCCTCAGCTAATTTTTGTATTTTTAGCAGAGACGGTTTCGCCATGTTAGCCAGGCTGGTCTTGAACTCCTGATCTCAAGTGATCCACCTGCCTAGGCCTCTCAAAGTGCTGGGATTACAGGCATGGGCCACCGCGCCCAGCCATCCCTGTGATCTTCCAATTCCTCCTGTCCCAGGCCGATTCCGAGCAGCTGTGCCCAGTGGGGCTTCCACGGGTATCTATGAGGCTCTGGAACTAAGAGACGGAGACAAAGGCCGCTACCTGGGGAAAGGTGAGGAGACACCAGCGCAGAAGGAGCCTGTGTGGGCGGCTTTAGGACATGGGTGCACAATGGGTAGAGGACTGGAACCCCCAAGGCTCTTGAGGAGCTGGGGTCCACAGAAAGGGGCCCAGTTGATTGAGCTCCAAAACTCATCCTCTGGCCTGTCTAGGAGTCCTGAAGGCTGTGGAGAACATCAACAATACTCTGGGCCCTGCTCTGCTGCAAAAGGCAAGTGGGGAAGCCCGCTCGCTGCAGCCTCCTCCCCATGCCCCTGCTCCCTCAGCCCAGACAGGCCTCTCCCGAAACATTTTCCCTTATCCTTCCCCTGCATGTGCCCTGACTTCTGAGAAATCTGACCTCTGCTCTCCCTTCTCAAACTCACCCTTCCAGAAACTAAGCGTTGTGGATCAAGAAAAAGTTGACAAATTTATGATTGAGCTAGATGGGACCGAGAATAAGTGTGAGTGAAGGGCTAGCGGTGGGGAAGGGATGAGGTGTGGGAGAGATGGCGAGAGGCCATGGGGTGAGGCCTGATGGGTTATTTCTGGGTCCCCCATTTTGGGTCACACCGCAGCTGGATGGATTTGTGTTCATTCCACAGGCATTTCCTATGCCTGCCTTCTGCCAGGCCTGGGCCGGGCTGTGGACACAGACATGCAGCTGACACATTCCCCCGGGGTGGGGGTTCCCAGGGCTACTCAGGCTGTTGGGGAGAGATCTGTTAACCAATTCTTCATGCTCAGTGGTTTGGAGCTCTGGCGTCTTCCTGGAGTAGCCACCCCAAACCCTGCAGAAGCTCTCATCCTTTCTTCCCGCTTGCCTCCTTCCAGCCAAGTTTGGGGCCAATGCCATCCTGGGCGTGTCCTTGGCCGTGTGTAAGGCGGGAGCAGCTGAGAAGGGGGTCCCCCTGTACCGCCACATCGCAGATCTCGCTGGGAACCCTGACCTCATACTCCCAGTGCCAGTGAGTGCAGCTACCCGCCCTTCCCAGATCTCGCCTGGACAGAGCCAACCCCGCCCAGCCAGGGTTGGCCCCCCTGGAAAATCCACCTTTCAGACCAGCTCCTAAGAAGCAGTTTCCTGAAATTGAATCTCTCCTGCTGTGGTCCCACCCCTCCCTCTCTTCCACAATCCAAACCTTCCCTGAAGGCTCTATGTGCTTCCTTCCCTGCCATATAACCCAGTTCCTTCCCATTCCAATCCTAGGCTCGATAACTCCAGCCTCGTTCCAACCCCACACCCTACACCCAAATCATATTGAGAGTTTCTTTGAGGCAAAGATCTTGGCATTTCTTTGTATCTTCTTGAGTCCTTCTTAAACCAGTGCCTTCTTGATGAATGGAAACTCTTTGAATTTAATCTCAATAATAATGTTACCATTTCTTGTTACTTACTAGGAGGATTGCATAAGAGCATGGTCTCTAGAGATAGATTGCTGGGTTTGAATCCTGGCTCTGCCTGTTATTAGTTGTATGATTTTAGGCAAGTTCTTTAACTGCTCTGTCTCAGTTTCCCCATCTGTAAAATGGGGGGTAATAACGATACCAATGAATAGAGGTGTTTTGAGAATGAAATGGGCTAATACATGTAAAGTACTTAGTGCGTGGCATGTAGTAAGTGCTATATAAAAGTGTTAGCTATTATATACTAGGCACATGCTAAGAACTTTACATTCAATTTCTCTAATTTTCAGCAAAAGATCCTACAGGGAAGTAGGTGCTATCCCCATTTTACAGAAATGAGGAAAGAGAGGCTGGGCACAGTGGCTCACGCCTGTAATCCCAGCACTTCGGGAGGCCGAGGCGGGCAGATCACAAGGTCAGGAGTTCGAGACCAGCCTGACCAACATGGTGAAACCCCGTCTCTACTAAAAATACAAAAATTAGCCAGGCATGGTGGCACCCACCTATAGTCCCAGCTACTAGGGAGGCTAAGGCAGGAGAATCACTTGAACCCGGGAGGCGGAGGTTGCGCCATTGCACTCCAGCCTGGTGACAAAGTGAGACTCCGTCTCAAAAAAAAAAAAAAAAAAAGAAAGAAATGAGGAAAGAGGCTCTTGAGCAAAACTACTCATCCTAGACCACTGAGCTAGTAAGTAGGGAAGCCAGGTTTCCACCCCAACACCCCCCGCCCCTGTCCCTTCTTGAGCTCTCATGCCCCGGCCCAGGTCCAGACACCCTCTCCCCATCTCAGGCCTTCAATGTGATCAACGGGGGCTCCCATGCTGGAAACAAGCTGGCCATGCAGGAGTTCATGATTCTGCCTGTGGGAGCCAGCTCCTTCAAGGAAGCCATGCGCATTGGCGCCGAGGTCTACCACCACCTCAAGGGGGTCATCAAGGCCAAGTATGGGAAGGATGCCACCAATGTGGGTGATGAAGGTGGCTTCGCACCCAACATCCTGGAGAACAATGAGGGTCAGTGCTGAGCACCCTGGGGGGCAGACCCCCTGGATCTCCACATGGGCAGGGGAGGCTGCAGACAAGGGGCACTGGAGTCTCAGGTCCTTTCTTGGTCCTCCCCCAGCCCTGGAGCTGCTGAAGACGGCCATCCAGGCGGCTGGTTACCCAGACAAGGTGGTGATCGGCATGGATGTGGCAGCATCTGAGTTCTATCGCAATGGGAAGTACGATCTTGACTTCAAGTCGCCTGATGATCCCGCACGGCACATCACTGGGGAGAAGCTCGGAGAGCTGTATAAGAGCTTTATCAAGAACTATCCTGGTGAGGCGTTCGGGTGTCCCAGTGTTCCTGCCCGAATCCCGTGCAGCTGCCTAATATACTGATTTCAGTGACCTGCTTTGCCATCGACTTGGATCCTTCCAATTCTTAGCCCCATTAAAATCCCCATTTAAGCTCTTCTGCCCTGTCACCCCTCCATGAGGCTCCTTCTGACCTCTAGCCGTGTCTCTGCCCTGTCTCTGCCTTGTCTCTGCCCTGTCTCTGCTCTGTCTCTGCCCTGTCTCTGCCCTGTCTCTGCCCTGTCTCTGCTCTGTCTCTGCCCTGTCTCTGCCCTGTCTCTGCTCTGTCTCTGCCCTGTCTCTGCTCCAAACCCCACCAGTGGTCTCCATCGAAGACCCCTTTGACCAGGATGACTGGGCCACTTGGACCTCCTTCCTCTCGGGGGTGAACATCCAGATTGTGGGGGATGACTTGACAGTCACCAACCCCAAGAGGATTGCCCAGGCCGTTGAGAAGAAGGCCTGCAACTGTCTGCTGCTGAAGGTCAACCAGATCGGCTCGGTGACCGAATCGATCCAGGCGTGAGTGCCTCCTGACCCTGAGGCTCACCATAGCCTGCCTCTGCCCCAGCTCTGCCCACTCCAGCTACAGTCTTACCCACCAACTCCAAGCTTACCTTTCCCCTGGCACCTGACTTACCCACACCTTGATCTCAAGACTTTGTTTGACTAATCCTTGGCCTGACTCCAAGAGCTTTGCCCCTGTGGCTCTGTCATGACCCCCCACCCCCAGCCCACACCATTCCTCTCTCAGATTCCGCTGTTCTCAGCAGCATCTCAAGAGCCCGAAATCAAGATAAGTCTTTTCCTCTCCTACTTCCCAAAGAACTTAGTCACTGCCCTCCCTGCAGAGTGCTTGCTACCCAAAACAGAAGGGAGAGGCCCCACCCAACCCCTGCTTTCCCACTGAGGAGGTTCTAGAAGGCCACATCAAATGTCCTCTCCACTCAGGTGCAAACTGGCTCAGTCTAATGGCTGGGGGGTGATGGTGAGCCACCGCTCTGGGGAGACTGAGGACACATTCATTGCTGACCTTGTGGTGGGGCTCTGCACAGGACAGGTACTTGTAGCTTCTCTCTACTGAGTGTCTCACCAAGTTTTCTTGGGGTCCCTGGCCTCCTGCCTTTGAGGTTAATGCTCCCTTGGGGCCAGGTCCAACCCCTCCTTTCCAGCCTCACCTAACCCTCCAAATTCTTCTTCCCTCATCAGATCAAGACTGGCGCCCCCTGCCGCTCGGAGCGTCTGGCCAAATACAACCAACTCATGAGGTACAGCGGGAACAGTGGGCCTGGGCATTGGGGTGCTGGAGGCTGTTAGGTTGGAAGTTCAGCAGCCCTAACCTTGCCTGCATTCTAGGATCGAGGAGGCTCTTGGGGACAAGGCAATCTTTGCTGGACGCAAGTTCCGTAACCCGAAGGCCAAGTGAGAAGCTGGAGGCTCCAGGACTCCACTGGACAGACCCAGGTCTTCCAGACCTGCTTCCTGAAATAAACACTGGTGCCAACCAAGACAGCTGTGTGCTTCTTTGTGGGAGCTAGGGGATGCTGGTTTCTGGGCTGAGCTGGGGAAAACAGGAGGTGGCGAGATGGGGGCGGGGAGGGGAGGCAAATAGATATGTAACCTGCTAGGACAAAGAGGAGGTGAGGGACTCACAGAGGAAGCTGGGTGGTTCTAGAACAACAGAGGTGTTCACATTTCCAAAGGAGGTAGGGGAAGCAGATGCTATATGGTAAAATGAAGCTGCAGAGTTGCCAATGGAGCCGGGCATGGTGGCGCTCGCCTGTAGTCCCAGATACCTGGGAGGCTGAGTTGAGAGGATCGCTTGAGCCCAGGAGGTTGAGGCTGCAGTACACTATGTTCGTACCACTGCACTCCAGCCTGGGCTGCAGAGCAAGACCCTGTCTCAAAGCAACAACAACAAAAAAAAACAAAAACAAACAAAAAAACTAAATAAAGAGTTTCAGAGGGAATAAGAAACCAGCTCCAGGAGAGGGGAGCAGGGTGGGGACTGGGGTCCTGCCACCACCATGAAGGGGAAGCTGGCTGTGAAGTAAATGGTCTGCAGAGGATGCTAGAGTGAGGCTGCAGTCCTAGGGAGGGCTTTGTGAGGATGAGAGTGATAATGACAGTGGCTGCCTCTCCTATAGAACTTACAGGATCTTGGCAGGGCACAGTGGCTCACGCCTGTAATCCCAGCACTTTGGGAGGCCGAGGCGGGCGGATCACCTGAGGTCGGGAGTTCGGGACCAGCCTGACCAACATGGAGAAACCCCATCTCTACTAAAAAATACAAAAATTAGCCAGGCATGGTGGTGCATGCCTGTAATCCCAGTTACTCGGAGGCTGAGGCAGGAGAATCGCTTGAACTCGGGAGGCAGAGGTTGCAGTGAGCCGAGATCGTGCCATTGCACTCCAGCCTGGGCAACAAGAGCAAAACTCTGTCTCAAAAAAAAAAAAAAAAAAAAAAAGAACTTACAGGATCTGAAACTGTTCTAAATATTTGACATATATTGCCCTGTGCAATTGTTCAAACAGCTCTGTCAGATAGCTGCCATAATTATCCTTATTTTATAGGTGAGGAAACCTGAGGCACAAAAGGTTAAATGCCTTACCCAAGGTAACGGTTGGCAGCTGGCAGGGCTAGGATCCAAAGCCAAGGTATTTGACTCCAGCGATTATACTCTCATGTATTTATTTTGAGCCAGCTTCTTGATCTGTCACCCAGGCAGGAGTGCAGTGATGCGATCATAGTTCACTGTAGCCTCAAACTCCTGGGCTCAAGCAATTCTCTTGCCTCAGCCTGCAAAGTAGCTGGGACTACAGGTGCACACCACCAGGTATGGCTAATTTTTAAATTTTGTATATTTTATTTTCTTTTTGTAGAGAAGGTTTGTGGCCTAGACTGATCTCAAACTCCTGGAGTCAAGCGATTCTCCTGCCTTGGCCTCCCAAAGTGCTGGGATCGCAGGTGTGAGCCACTGCGCTCAACCAATTTTTTAATTTTGTAGAGAGAAAGTCTCACTATGTTGCCCAGGCTGATCTTGACCTCCTGACCTCAAGTGATCCTCCAGCCTTGGCCTCCTAAAATGCTGGGATTACAGGTGTGAGCCACTATGCCCAGCCCGATTGCACTCTTAAAATACAGCATCTTACAAAACCCTCTGGGCCGGGCACAGTGGCTCACTCTTGCAATCCCAGCACTTTGGGAGGCTGAGGCGGGCGGATCACCTGAGGTTAGGAGTTAGAGACCAGCCTGGCCAATATGGTGAAACCCCATCTCTACTAAATGTACAAAAAATTACCCGGGTGTGGTGACACATGCCTGTAGTCCCAGCTACTCAGGAGGCTAAGGCAGGAGAATCGCTTGAACCCTGGAGGCAGAGGTTGCAGTGAGCCGAGATCACACCACTGCACTCCAGTCTGGGCAACAGAGAAAGACTCTGTCTCAAAACAAACAAACAAACAAAAAACCTCTGATAGTTCCAACTGGCCATCTTTAACCTACACAAACAGCAATTTTATGCTGTTCAACTGAAAATTATTCCCCTTCTTCTCTACCAGTGGTTCCAGGACCCACCTTTCTGTGTATAAACAAACCAGGACATTGGGTTAAACAGTATTTATTGAATGTAAAGTACCCCAGCCCCATGGGGAAGAAAATTCCAAGAACGGGGAATAATACAGATTAAATACCCACCTGTGCATTCACACTCTCACACACACACACACATGCCACGCACATATCCAAGCTCCAACGGTGACAAATCAAACACCTGTTTTCCCCCAGCCTGAGGGACAGCTGGTAGGAGGTGGTTCAGAGGTGGGGCTCCAGGATGGGCTCTAATAGCAGCAGCCTTGTCTCTCCCTGCCCCCTGCCCTGCCCCAGGGGTCAAAGGGAGCTGGGCGGGGCGCCTAGGAGGTTGGCGGCAACTCTTCCCCACTCTGCCGCAGACGCTTCTTGGCTCTGATCTCATTCATAGCCTCTTCAATGGAGCGTGTGTCCCTCTTATTGGCCACGGGCACTAGGGGCAGAGAGGAGGGTAGGGCGGGCCTAGAAATCCGTACCTCAGCCTCCACTGCCCTCCTGCCGCATCCTATGCTCCTCTCCCAGCCACCCCCAGCCGCACTGTGGCCTCACCACAGCCGTAGGTCTTATTGGCCTGTAGCATGTGGGCTGCGTCTTTGGCTGCTCCCTTGCCGATGAGGTGGCTGTACTTGTCCTTGTAGTCGCTGGCAGGGCTCACCACCACAGGCCCCTGCTGGGCTGCCTCCTCCTCTTGCCTCTGGGCCAGCTCCTAGGGGTGAAAGTGGGGGCACTGGTGCTCAGGGCCCCAGCCCAAACCCCCACCCCTCCCAGGTGGTGGGCTTCTGGACCCCAAGGGCTGCAAAGCATAGCTCACCTTCAGCTTCCGCTTCTCCTCAGCCTTCTGGGGGTCCCATTCCTCTCCACGACGGTAAGAGTCTAGCTCTTCATCTGAGGGTGCAAACTCCTGAAGAAGAGCAGAATGATGGGGTCAGAGTCCATACAAATGTTTCATTTCATTCCTTGGTCGGGGAGGGGGGATAAGGCTACAAAGGGGAGAGGAGAGAATGAGGAATTCAGGCCCTTTACCTTTTTGAAGATCATGACATAGCGACAGTCATCATCTTCCCCAAAGGAGAAGGATGTCAGGCCAGCCACTTCCACCACATCATGTCTGGGATGGGATGGCAGAGGGGAAAGAGCATCTTGAGCCAGGAGCGGGCCTAGTGCCCTCCTCTGGAGGAGCCCCCCGCTGGCCCTTTCATGCCCCGCTAGCCACCCATTTCCTTCCTCCCCCAGCCCAGGGACACTCACAGTATGCTCCTCTCGATCTTGTTCATTGGCTGAAACTTTTTCTTGATCTGCCCACTGTCTTGAATGAAATCTGACACCTCCTTCTCCATCTTGGGAGAGGGGAAAGGAAGCAGATATGAGACAATGGCTCCACCCAAGTACCCCTCTCCCTAGCTGAGCCTGGGCCCTTCTACGCCTCCCCAGCACCCTCCCCAGCCTCCAAGCCACTGGCTTCCATGCGTCACCTCTCTCAAGACATTTTCAGCAAAACTGAGTCCTCAACCTTCCAATTTTAACTTATTGGAAGTCCTTCCTGAGTCTGCCTTTGATCACTCCAGTTGTTCTCACCCTTTTACGAAACTCCACTTTCTGTTGTTTCTCTTGCTCTTGTAGTTTCTTCAGGCGGGCGGCCTGTTCTGGGGGTGAGAAATGGCAACATGAAGCCAGGGCTGGAAGCATGGGTGGGAAAGGTTTCTAAGGCTTCAAGTGAAGTGTGGTGTCCACTGGGAGGTGTCAGGCTGGGAAGGTAGGATTAGCGTTTATTCATCAAGCATTTATTGATGTTTATTCTATCTAATAGTCCCCCTTATCCACAGGGGTTCATTCCAAGACCCTCAGTGGATGCCTGAAATTGTGGATAGTACTGACCCCTATACATACTATGTCTTTTTCTATACATACATGCCTATGATAAAGTTTAATTTATAAATTAGGCACAGTAAGAGATTAAGAATAATAGACCAGGCATGGTGGCTCACGCCTATATCCCAGCACTTTGGGAGGCCGAGGCAGACAGATCTCCTGGGGTCAGGAGTTCGAGACCAGCCTGGTCAACATGGTGAAACCCCATCTCTACTAAAAATACAAAAATTAGCCGGGTGTGGTGGTGGGCGCCTATAATTCCAGCTACTGGGGAGGCTGAGGCAGGAGAATCGCTTGAACCTGGGAGGCAGAGATTGCAGTGAGCTGAGATCGCGCCATTGCACTCCAGCCTGGGCAACAAGAGTGAACTCCGTCTCAAAAAAAAAAAAGAGATGGCCGGGTGCAGTGGCTCACACCTGTAATCCCAGCACTTTGGGAGGCCAAGGTGGATGGATCATGAGGTCAGAAGATCGAGACCATCCTGACTAACACGGTGAAACCCTGTCTCTACTAAAAAAAAAAAAATATACAAAAAATTAGCTGGGTGTGGTGGTGGGCGCCTGTAGTCCCCACTACTCGGGAGGCTGAGGCAGGAGAATGGCGTGAACCTGGGAGGCGGAGCTTGCAGTGAGCAGAGATGGCGCCACTGCACTCCAGCCTGGGCGACACAGCAAGACTCCATCTCAAAAAAAAAAAAAAAAAAAAGAGATTAAGAATAACAATAATACAATAGAACAATTATAACAATGTACTGAAATAAAAGTTTGTGGCTATGCTCTCTCTCTCTCTCAAAATATCTTACTGTATATAACAGTTCTGGACTGCAGGTAACTAAAACCTTGGAAAGCAAAACCTTGGATAAGGGAGAAGTAGGGACTACTGTATCTGGCACCAGGCGAGACCCTGAAGTACTGAGATTATTAAGACACAATGTGGCCCTTCAAGAGCTCCCAGTTTAGTGGGAGTGACAAAGATCAGAATAATGCTTAACCCCCTTTCCCAACTCCACTGGGGAAACCAATTAACAAATATCTATTTATTTATTTATTTTTGAGATGGAGTTTCACTCTGTCACCCAGGCTGGAGTGCAGTGGCATGAGCTCAGCTCACTGCAAACTCCGTCTCCCAGGTTCAAGCGATTCTCCTGCCTCAGCCTCCCAAGTAGCTGGGATTACAGGCATGTGCCACCACACCCGGCTAATTTTTGTATTTTTAGTAGAGATGGGGTTTCACCATGTTGGCCAGGCTGGTCTTGAACTCCTGAGCTCAAGTGATCCCCCCGCCTCACCTTCCCAAAAGTGCTGGAATTATAGGCGTGAGCCACTGCACCCGGCCTATTTATTTTTGGGACAGGATATCACTTTATTGCCTAGGCTGGCGTGCAGTGGCACAATCACAGCTCACTGCAGCCTTGACCTCCCTGGCTCAAGGGATCCTCCTACCTTAGCTTCTCAAGTAGCTGGGACCACAGGCGTGTGCCACCATGCTCAGCTACTGTTTAAAAAATAATTAAAAATATTTGTGAGATGAGGTCTCACTATGTTGCCCAGGATGGTATTTTTATTTTATTTTATTTTTATTTTTGAGACGGAGTCTCACTCTGTCACCCAGGCTGGGTGCAATTAGCACCCAGCTAATTTTTGTATTTTTATTAGAGACGGGGTTTCACTATGTTGGTCAGGTTGGTCTCGAACTCCTGACCTCGTGATCCGCCCGCCTCAGCCTCCCAAAGTGCTAGGATTACAAGTGTGGGCCCAGGCTGGTCTCGAACTCGGCTTCAAATAACCCTCCCACCTGGGCCTCTCAAATTGCTTGAAAGCCTTGAGCCTCTGCACCCAGCCTTGGCTAATTTTTTTTTTTTTAAGTTTTCTGTTAAGATGGGGTCTCAGTTTGTTGCCCATCCTGGTCTCCAGTTGGCCTCAAGTAATCCTCCCACCTTGACCTTCCAAAGTGCTGGGATTATAGGTGTGAACCACCATGCCTGGACTATAGTTAGTTCTTTGTACATTGTGGGCATTAAATAAATGTTTGGGCTGAGCGTGGTGGCTTACGTGTGTAATCCCAGTACTTTGGAAGGCCAAGGTGGGAGGACTGCTTGAGGCCAGGAGCTCCAGACCAGTGCAGGCAATATAGTGAGACCCTGTCTCTATAAAAAATAAAGAATTAGGCATGATGATGCATGCCTGTAGTCCCAGCTACTCGGGAGGCTGAGGTAGGAAGATCACTTGAGCCTGAGAGGTCTAGGTGACAGAGCAAGACCCTGTCAAAAACAAAAACAAAAACAAACCATAATGCATCTGGGAAGGTGAGGAAAACAGACTAAGACCCTGGCCTCAAAGAGTCTGTCATCTCGTTTACACAGGAAAGGGGAATTTTTTTTTTTTTTTTTTTTTTTTTGAGATGGAATCTCGCTTTGTCGCCCAGGCTGGAGTGCAGTGGCACGATCTTGGCTCACTGCAACCTCCGCCTCCTGGGTTCAAGCGATTCTTCTGCCTCAGCCTCCTGAGTAGCTGGGACTATAGGCATGTGCCACCACGCCCAGCTAATTTTTGTATTTTTAGTAGAGATGGGGTTTCACCATATTGGCCAGGCTGGTCTCGAACTCCTGACCTTGTGATCCACCTGCCTCGGCCTCCCAAAGTGCCAGGATTACAGGCTTGAGCCACCGTGCCCAGCTGGAAAGGGGAAATTATTTAACTTTCTATATTTTGTAAAATCCCCCACTTCCCACTTCTATAGACAGGATGAAGCTGAAATAGATAATCTGACACCCTTCTCCTTTGGGAGTGTAGGTGTCCAAGGTTAGCTGTGAAGGGTCTTCTTTTTCTGAACTCTTGGGCTCAAGGTATCTGCCTGCCTCTTGCCTGAAGATGCCCGAGACCCCATCTTTACAGAAAACTTTTTTTAAAAAAATTAGCCAGGTCTGGGTGCAGAGACTCAAGCTTCTCAAGCAATTTGAGAGGCCGAGGTGGGAGGATCACTTGAGGCTGGGAGTTCAAGACCAGCCTCCCAAAGTGCTGGGATTTCAGCTGTGAGTCCCCTCGCCTGGCTAAGGGTCTTATTTAACTTTCTTCCTCTTCCTTAGATCCTGCCTCTGCGCCAGATCCCCTCTGCCTCTGGAGGAGGAGGAAGAATTTCTAACCCGGGCCCTCCATGCTTGCCTGTCTTCCCCACGATGTGATTTTACTACCTCTAGAGATTTGGGTGCATGCTTCTTCCTACTCCTGCTCCTCAGCCTGAAATTTTTTTCTCTTTTGCCATTTCAAATCCTTTACATCTTTTTTTTTTTTTTTTTTTTTTGAGACGGAGTCTCGCTCTGTCGCCCAGGCTGGAGTGCAGTGGCGCAATCTCCGCTCACTGCAAGCTCCGCCTCCCGGGTTCACGCCATTCTCCTGCCTCAGCCTCCCAAGTAGCTGGGACTACAGGCGCCCGCCACCACGCCTGGAGAATTTTTTGTATTTTTAGTGGAGACAAGGTTTCACCGTTTTAGCCAGGATGGTCTTGATCTCCTGACCTCATGATCCACCCGCCTCGGCCTCCCAAAGTGCTGGGATTATAGGCGTGAGCCACCGCACCCGGCCAAATCCTTTACATCTTTAAGGCCTCCTTCTTCCCCAGGATCTGAATCCTCTCCAGCTGCACTGAACCTCTCCCCATCATTTATTTATTTATTTCGAGACAGAGTCTCGCTGTGTGCCCAGGCTGGAGTGCAGTGGCGCGATCTCGGCTCACTGCAACCTCTGCCTCCCGGGTTCCAGTGATTCTCATGCCTCAGCCTCCCGAGTAGCTGGGATTACAGGTGTGAACCACCACACCCGGCTAATTTTTTTTTTCTTTTTCTTTTTTTGAGATGGAGTTTCGCTCTCTTTGCCCAGGCTGGAGTGCAATGGTGCAATCTTGGCTCACTGCAACCTCTGCCTCCCGGGTTCAAGTGATTCTCCTGCCTCAGCCTCCCGAGTAGCTGGGATCACAGGCATGTGCCACTACACCTGGCTAATTTTTTCATTTTTAGTAGAGATGGGCTTTCTTCTCCATGTTGGTCAGGCTGGTCTCGAACTCCCGACGTCAGGTGATCCGCCCGCCTCAGCCTCCCAAAGTGTTGGGATTACAGGCGTGAGCCACCACGCCCGCCCATTTTTTTGTATTTTTCGTAGAGACGATGTTTCGCCATGTTGGCCAGCCTGGTTTTGAACTCCTGACCTCAAGTGATCTGCCCGCCTCAGCCTCCCAAAGTGCTGGGATTATAGGCATGAGCCCTCTCCCCATTTTTCAAATAACTCCATGCCTTTGCACACGTTGTTCCTCTGCTTGGAATGCTTTTCCTCCTCTTGCAAACATTGAGATCTACCGTGAGTCAGTTACTTCTTCCCCTGGGCTCCAAGCTCCTTTGGCTGAGACACCCAGCAGCATAGACAGAGAACTAACGTATCATAACTTCTTTTTTTTTTGTCTCCTTCAGCATAGTATGAGCTCCTGGAGGGCAGGGACCCTGTTGATCTACTGTTCAGTTATCCTCTGGAGCCCCAGGGCCTGACAGCTTATGAGCTCTCATCCCTCTGTCCTCACTGACCATCAGCGCATTTCATCTTTTGTTGTTGGAAACAGTCTCAACTTCATCGCCCAAAATGGAGTGCAGTGGCGCAATCACCTCTCACTGCAGCTTCAACCTCCCAGACTCAAGCGATTCTCCCACCTCAGCCTCCCGAGAATTGGGACCATAGGAGCGCGCCACCAAGCCCAGCTAATGTTTATTTATTTATTTATTTATTTATCTATTTATTTATTTATTTATGAGACGGAGTCTCGCTCTGTCGCCAGGCTGGAGTACAGTGGCGCAATCTCGGCTCACTGCAACCTCCTCCTCCTGGGTTCAACTGATTCTCCTGCCCCAGCCTCCTGAGTAGCTGGGACTACAGGCACGCGCCACCACGCCCAGCTAATTTTCGTATTTTTAGTAGAGACGGGGTTTCACCATGTTGGCCAGGATGCTCTCGATCTCTTGATCTCGTGATCTGCCCGCCTTGGCCTCCCAAAGTTTTGGGATTACAGGCGTGAGCCCGGCCAATTTTTGTATTTTTTGTAGAGATGGGGTTTCTCCATGTTGCCCAGACTGGTCTTGAACTCCTGGGCTCAAGCGATCCGTCCGCCGCGGCCTCCCAAAGTGGTGGTATTAAAGGTGTGAGCTACAAGGCCGGGCCCCACTGACTGTTCTTTAACTGGTTTTCGAGTCTTCTCTGCATCTAGAGAAGTGGCACAAGATTATGGTCAAGAACATAGGCTTCGAGCCCAGTCATACCTGGGTTTGAAACCCTGCCACTTACCAAACTAACCATGTGACCTCAGGCGAGTGACTCATTTAAGCTTCCCAGTCTGTCAATGCCGGGTGATCCCCCACTTAGACAGTCATCGGAGCATTAGAGAATTCCAGTTCCCCATTCCCATCATGCTTCCTCCTTTCTCAGAGATTTCAAATAGACTCTTCTGCCTGTAACGCTTTGCTTCTCTCTCTCATTTACGGAATTACCTGTTCTGATCTCGGCTCACTGCAGATTGGGGGAGAACCTCAGGTGGCCGCTCTCACAGTTATTTTTCTCTCAGAGCACTTATCAAGTTGGTTATTAAACTTACGTGTGATCACTGCATCAATGAGCGCCCCAGCCCCGGACTGTGGCCTCCCTGAGGGGTACCCCTGGTCCCTAACGGTTGTTCAAGAAACAAGGGGACGAAGCGTAGGCAACCAGCGGCCCTTGAATACTTGGAAGGCGTCCTGCCTGCTCTGGTCCCCCTGGGGCACGTGGGGAGCTGGGACAGGGCTCGTCCGTGGTCAAGGTCCGCAGGTTTGGGAGTTGGGGTCCTGCGTTCCGCCAGTATCATCCCAAGCTGCAACACGAGCAGCCCCGGGGAGGCTCCCACCGCCCTGCAGGGCCGCGCCCTACGCCGGCCGCCGAACTCCAGCCCACCCGCAGGGAAGCTACTCCGAGAACGCAGGCGGAGACAGTGGCCAATCGGACCCGGCGGGTATTCTCATCCCTCCAATCAACACTACGATCCGCCCGGGCAGCTCGGGAATTTAAGGCTACGGATGGGAAAAAGGTTGTCGGAGGGAGGCAGAAGGGACTGGGTTAAATTAAGCAGGAGGGGCAAGAACACACAGAGGACCCTGCAACCAATGGGAATTCGCAGGCTGGGGTGGTTTCGAAGGAAGGTCGAACAGGCCTGAGGAGGCAGAGCTTTAAGTTGAGATAGCCAATAGAGATGAAGGCACAGTAGATGGCGTGTCCTAAATCCAATCGAAATAGAGCTAGAGGTGAGCGGGGCAGGAATGCGGCAGGTTGGAGGCACCCTACCAATCAGACCAGGTCAGCAGCGGACAGGCGGGACGGCCGGCTAATGGGAAACAAGGACTGCGGAAGGCCAGGGTCGGGAGAAGAGGCAGGAGGCTGGCGCTATCTTTCAGGTAGCCAATCACTGTCCGCTAAGAACAGCGGGCGTGTCAGCAGCCCTTTTAGGGACTCTGAGGGTCTCGGAAGGGGCCTGTGAGGGGTCTTTCAAGGTTGAGGAGGCGGCATCGTCCAAAGAGGGAGAAGTATGGTCCCGAGAACCGGGCGAAGGAAGGCGGTTGTGAATTTGGGATCCTCACCTCGGGCCTTGCGCCGAGTCTCCTGGTCACCGAGGCTGGGTGGCTTCTCCATGGAGCTCAGGATGGAGCCCAGTAGGTCCGCCATCTTGGGAGTGACTGAGAGGGGGCGGTGCGTCTTAAAGGGAAGGGCGGAATGCCTTTAAGGCCGGAAACACGTCGGAGGCGGAAAACCCTGGGCCCGCCTGGCCTGGGCGCAGATCCCAGGCCCGCGGTGCATGGCGGCCTCCAGCTGGCCTAGGCCCCGCCCCGCCCCCGCAGACAGAGGCCGGAGGCTGGCTGGTGCAGCGATGTTTAATGGCAATTCGTATAAACCAAGCCCATGCACAAGTAGAAAGTGCCCGTGGAGCCGGCAGGAGGCCCCCGCCGCGCTAGAGAACCACAAGCCCGGCCGTGCAGCCCTCCCCGCGGCGCCTTAAATAGATTCTTCACTATACTCTGTATGTTACAGTATGTACAAGACCCCTCCCCTCGGGGGACGGGGCGGACTCCGCAACGCGTTCCTATGTACACCACCTCCCCTTCGGCCCTGAGGTCAGTGGCCAGAGTCGGGTGATGGGGTAAGACAGGGCCAGAGAGGGAGGAAACAGACGCAAACATGCGGAGTCGGGTGGGGACACGGTCAGCCCTGAAACACGAGGGGCGTGCGCAGCGAAGGCAGTGGTGGGAACCGAGGCGGATACATTCAGAGACGCGTCGAACAAATAAATAAGGCAAGTCAGGAGGGGGCCGAGTCGGGTGCAGGCAGGAGGAGCTGGGGAGCAGGGGCAGGCAGGGCTCCGGAGGTCACAGCGGAAGATGCAGGTATGTGGGGCGCGGGTTTTCTGGAGCCAGGACCAAAAGAGACGGGGCACGACCAGGAGGGACGAGGAGAGGGGTGTGGGAGCAAGGCGTGGGGAGGAGGGAGGAGGCCTACAGAGGGCTCCAACAAAGGTGAACAGGAAAGCTGCCGACAGGGGCTCCCCCTGCCCCAGAAAGCCCTCTCCCTGTTAAGACTGCACGAGGCGCCCCCAGGGTGGTGAGAAAGGCGGTGGCCAGGTCATGTGGCCAGTCCCGGCTGGGGAAGCCCTTCCAGCTCCTGGTTCTGCTTCAGTTCCCTCATCCTGCAGAGAGAAAGATAGGAGTCAGAGGAGACTGGCGGATCACGACGGGTGGCAACGCAAAAGCCCAGGGGGAGAAGGGATGAGTACCTGTGTCGGCAGCGCCGCAGGAATCTCATGATCTTCCGGGCTGCCTGGTCCTGCTTCTTGGTGAGAAAGGAGCCTCTGGTGAAAGAAACAAAAGATGGACCTCACAGAAGGCATCGCATGCCTTCGGCCCCCCCAGGAACCCTAGGCAGGGAATGGCAGTGAGGCATGATGATCAAGAGGATGAGTAAGGGGGAATGGCGTGGATGCAGTGGGTGGGCACAGAGGGCTGGGGCTGGGCCCTACTTGTTGCGGGCAGGCAGGGTGGCCGAAGTCCGGTGGGGAGGGCCGGGCCTGCGGCGGTAGGAGCGGTAGTGCTGCTGGATGAGCACAGCCGCTCGGCGGCTCTGCTGAAATCGCTTCTGTTCATAGTAGCTTCGGAACTTGCTCTGGATCAGGATGGCCGCCTGGGTCATCTTCTTATAGAGTGCAAACTGCAGGGGTGGGGAGGAGGGACAGGGGCTGAAATAGAGGGACGGAGACCCAAAGCCCTGAGGCTCACCCAAGTTAGGCTGATGCAAGACTCTCTGTAACCCACACACTCAAGGAAAGACTGAATCATCACAGACCTCACACTCAGAGCTCATGCCTAATACCTTAAGTGCAATCCAGGTCAGCTTGTGGAGAGAGAAGGGGAGTTAGGGCTCTGGCAACATTCTGGAATGGTTAGGCGTGGGTGTGGGTTGGTGGGTTGCTGGTTACACTTTTGAGGGAGAAGGGTCTCACCTGCTTGTACTTCCGGTAACAGCGCTGGATTACAGCTGCTGCTACCTCCTGCTGCTCCTTCAGCCGCCGGCCCTGAAGGGAGAGAAGTCTCACCACCTCATGACCCACATAATGGCATATCTGACTTGTCCCTTCAACTTTCCTGGGGTTCCCCTGACCCTTTACCCCATCCAAGGCCTGTCTGCACGACTACTCATCCTCCAAAAGCCCTGGGAGCCCAGTCTCCCCTGACTGGAGATTGTGTAATTCATCCTGAGACCCCTGCCCCTGACCTTGTACTTTCGGAAGGCCGTCTGGATGACTCGGGCAGCCTCATACAGTTCCCGCTGCTCGTGATCTGATAGTGTCAGCAGGGCAAAATCACTTTCCATCTTGCCACTGGTGGATGCAGAGAGAAACTCTGCCCAGGAGGGTGCTGAAGGGACAGCCAGGCGACCTCGCTCAAAGGGCAGTTCGCTGTAGGCGGTAGGGAAAGAGGGTGTCATGAAGCATCTGAAGTCCCTCCTCTGCCACCTATGGATGGCTACGAAGGAAAACCACCAGCAACTGAGTCTGGAGAGTGACTTCAGAGTTCATCAGCCAGTTCAGTTCGCTTCTCCAAGGCCCTGGGGCCTCAGCCAGAATGGAGCTTTGGCTGTGGGAAAGCCAGCTTTCTCCCTTCCTCCCATCTTCCTTTGAAGAATCTGGAGGCTTTGTCCTGAGCTAGTCACCTGGGAGGGGTTGAGCTGGGGAAATGGTCCACATTCTCCAGGTAGCTGGCCAGCCAGGACATGGTCTCACTGAGCCCCACAGCCCCTGTCCGCTCCCGCATTGAGGCTCCAGCCTCGGGCAGCCCCACGAAGTCCTCTCGTTTAATCCGCTCCGGTGTGGCTTCGATGATCTGCTTGGCTAGTGAGATCATGTCCACCTGGAAGAAGGGAGAAGCTGAGTGAGTCCTTAGGGGCCCCAGCTGCCAGCTGTAACCTCAGTCCATTCCTATCTTGTTCCTTCTCTCCCTGCCAGGTGCTGCTAACCCTGTCTTTCTGGGCCACTGTTCCAGACTCATTCATTTATACTGATGGGGCTCCCACTTGGGGGTCCCTCTGTGCTGAGATGCTATGGAGAATATAGGATAAAAAGGAGATACTCCAAGTGGGGATTCAAAGCTGAACAAATGGAGGACTTGACACCCTTTCAGGCCAACCATCCACTGTCCTACCTGGGCCTGCCCCATGCCAGCTGACCAGCACATGCTCCCCATAGGCTTGGCTGTGCCCACCCCCAGCTCCCTTTCAACTCTCCAAGAACCATTCCAACACTTGCCAACTACTACCCGGATGAATGGCTCCAGTCTGGCCTTTGCTCCAGCCCTGAAGCCTATACTCCAGCACTTCCTGCTGGACACACTCAACACAACCTACTTGTGGAGTTCCCTAAGTTTTTTGTACTTAAAGTGCCACCCACTTACTCCATTAGTCTCTCTAAAGCAGGTATGTCCCCAGTCTCTATCAGAGAAGTACAAGGCTATACTTGAAGATTCACTTTCATTCCACAAGACTTTCTTAGCTTTATCATGTGCAAGCCTCCTTCCTGCATCAGATCACTGCCAAATACCCTCATCTTGCCAGCCTTACCTCTCCACACAACTCCCAGCTGCCCTCCGTCATCTTGGTTCTCCTAGAACCTTGTCCCTACATAGATCAACGGTTAACTCCTACAAACCAGCTCTAACTGAAGATATTCCCTAGAATTTTTGTTATAGAGACAGGGTCTCTTGTCCAGGCTGGAATGCAATGGCACAGTCAGCTCACTGCAACCTCATATTCCTGGGCTCAAGGGGTTCTCCTACCTCAGCCTCCCAAGTAGCTACAACTACAGGTGTGTGCCACCATGCCTATTTTTAAAAAATTATTTTGTGTAGAGATGGGGTCTTGTTATGTTGGCCAGACTGGTCTCAAGCCCCTGTTCTCAAGTGATCCTCCCACCTCGTTCTCTGAAAGTGATGGGATTACAGGGGTGAGCCACCGCACCCAGCCAGAATATTTTTTAATGCTTTTTATATTTTAAATCTTACTATTTTGTCTTTTTTTTTTTTTTTTTGAGACAGTCTCAGTCTGTCACCCAGGCTGGAGTGCAGTGGTGCAGTCTCGGCTCACTGCAGCCTGTGCCTCCTGGGTTCAAGTGATTCTTGTGTCTCAGCCTCTCAAACAGCTGGGATTACAGGCACATACCACAGTGCCCAGTTAATTTTTGTATTTCTTGTAGAGAGGGGGTTTCGCCATGTTGCCCAGGCTGGTCTCAAACTCCTGGCCTGAAGTGATCCACCCGCCCTGGCCACCCAAAGTGCTGGGATTACAGGCGTAAGCCACCAAGCCCGGCCAAATTTTTTTTTTCCAACATCTGTATTGTGGGACCAGCCAGAATTTTCAACCTCCGCTGCCTCATGACTTCCAAGTCACATGGTCTAAAAGGAGCTAAGCAAAAGGCTACCTTGCCTGTCCCAAAATGAAGTAAATAGGCCCTTCCTAAACTGAAGCCAGACTTTGATTCTGCTTCATGGAAGTCGGCCTCACCCTTCCTACTCCACTTCTAGCCCCCATAACTCCATCAATATAAGCAGTACCGGGATCACATCCACAGCCTGTGGGCTGTCAGCGTCCTCTGGAGCAGCCCCATCATCTGAAGCTGGTGGGAGGGCAGGAAGGGAGGAGAGGGGCCCCTTGGAGTTGGTAGCCTCATAGTCCATGAGGAGTAGGGGGGCTTCTGGGACACCAGAGGAAAGCTGGCCTGGGGCCATGTCCTCCATAGTCATCTCAGAGGCTGGCAGAGGTGCAGGGGGGGGACTGCCATCTGGGGCACTAGAATAGGCTGACGTGACGGAAAAGGTGCCATCCGACAGCTCCGAGGGCGAGGAGACGCTGCTCAGACCTGTGTGGGGAGGGAAGAGAGTGAGGGCAGCCGGAGCCACGGCCATCCCTCGCTCAAGTCTCCTGCCTTCCCCATCCTGTTCTCGGTCCCCGTCTGTTCTTGCTTCTGTTATCTCCCATCCCTGCCTCTGTGGTTTGTCTCCTCTCTTACTCGTTTCCCACACCCTTTGGCTTTGTCCTGGCCTATCCTCCTACCTACATCCCTCTCTCCAAAAGATTAGGGCCACCCTCACCAGTGTCTGGGCTGGAGGAGGGTGGCGATAGGGCAAATGGGGGCTCCACCGAAGGCTCCTGTCTCTGTAGTTCCTCAAGGCAGCGGGCAAGGCGCACATGACCCCGGGAATGAGCCACAGACAATGGCAGACGGCCCAGAGAGTCGGGAATGCTCAGTGCCTGTCGGTTCCAACGGAAAAGGAGCACAGCAGCTTCCAGGTGTCCCAGGGCACAAGCCCACATCTGAGGAAGGGGGCGGGACAGGCGGAGACGGAGGTGGAGGTGAGGCCAGGGGCTCTTCCTCCAGGTAGTCAGGTCTTCAGGCCCCAGCCCACCCCACTCCCTGCATTCCTCAGGATCTTCCTTTTCAAGGGCTGTTCCCATTGCTCCCTGCCCCATATGCGCTCAGGAATCCGTCATCCTCACCAGAGGGGTGCAAGAGAAATGATCCACGTTGAGCGGGTCAACCTCCTGCTCTAAGTCCAAGCTTCCAGTCTCCACACTCCTGGAGGGTTTGGGAGAGAGACAGCAGAGCCCAATGAGGGAAAAAGTGGGCAAAGCAGGAACATCAGAAGTAAAGGCACTAGGAGGCAAGCTGTACAGGGCCGGTGGGAAGAGGCAGTCAAGGACACTAGCTTAAGGAGGTCAAGAAGTCAAAGTGTTGTAAGTCAGGATATGAAAGTTCCCCAAAATATAAGTCCTCTCCCAACCCCCTCCCTTCCCACAATGACCCCAACTCCCTCTTGGTAGGGCCCCAGGTCCTCCAATTCCTCTTCAGTCCCCTGACACTTCTGTCCCAGAGGCTGCCCAGCCCTCACCCAGCTGCCCTTGCTCACCGCCACTGGCTCAGGGTCTCGATGAGGCGGGCATAGCCCTGGGCAGCAGCCAGGTGCAGAAGGCTCATGCCCCGGAAGGGGCTTCCATGGGCCAGACGTTCAGGACCCTTCCAGGTGGAGCGTGGGATCATGCTTTCTACCAAGACCACTACCCGTGCTTCGAACCCAGGCCCCTGGCCTTCATCCTGCGATATACACACTCTTAGGCAGAGACCCAGGTATCTACTCCCCTGGCTTGAGGTGGCCTTGGCCACCTCACATCTGTCCTCCCAGCTTCTAATTTTGCCCCCTCCCCACATGTCCCACTCTAGGATCCCATCAGTTGAAGTTCCTCTGTGGCCTGTGTCTCTTGCTCCCACAGCCACTTCCTCCAGCAGCCAGACCTCACACAATCTTGCCCATGTGCCTTCCCATCAGCTCAGATTAGTGCCATGTTCACACATGGCTTCTCCCCCTCAGAAGCCAGAGCCTTCTCTGAGCCTTAGCCCTCTTCTTTCAGAAACTTGGGACCCACAGAGATCTGAGCCCCAGTGCTCCTGACCCCTCCCCCGCCCTCTCCTTCACCTCCACCCTTCTTCAGACCAGAAATAGTCTGAAGCCCGTCATGCCAAGAGGGTGCCCAGAATAGCCACTCTTGCCACAAGGTGGGGATGGGAACAGGGTGACGTCAGGGAGAGGGAAGACAGGCTGAGGAGGCTGGGGACAGGAGAGGGAGGAGAGTCATGGGCACTAGATGTTTTCTTTAGCTGTGTCCTCCCCCTGCTCCCCACCGTAGACCACCTCCCTCCTCACAGAAGTACCTGAACTGGAGGAGCATCAGGACCCTGGCAAGGCACCTGCCCAGCTGCTGCGATCTCTGCCATCCGCTTCTCCATCTGCTCCAGTCGCTCTAGTATGGACATCCGGAACTGGTTGTCTGAGGGGGAACGGGTATGGGAGGCTGAGTGGGCAGTCTAGGTGATGCCCTGAACACCAAAAGTAGACCTGTCCCAAGATCTGGGGATGAGGACACAGAACCATATTCTTTTATCTTCCCCAAAACAACAGCTCCTTTACCCCTTCACCTAAATAAAGCCCACCAGGACTCAGTCCTTAAACTAGGGCTGTTAATACTACCCACTGATCTAGAACCCAGATCTGGAACCAAAACTGTTTCCTTCAAGGTACAGAGGTAGTAGGATTCCCAAATGGTCATCCAGCCTCCAGATGTCCCAAATCCCACCCGTACACACTCTTCCCCCCAGCCTTTTCCTAGGCAAAATGTTCTGTCAATTTTTGCAGCAGACACTACCTTTGTCCCCCATGGTGAAGGTGAAGGATTCCAGGGTCCCTCCCTTTTAATAACCACTGCCCCAAAAAGCTCAGGGACTGTGATTTGAAAAGTACCTCCCCTTCCTCCCAGCCCCCCGCAGCTGTCCACAAAGACGATGGTGGGGGACGGAAGGTGACAGAGATGGATAGCCATATAGCCATGTCCATTTCTCCTCCTCCTCCTCCCCGCCCCATATACAAATACGCACGTACACACATATCCCCCCAAGCTATATCTGTCCCCTCCTGAGATCAAACAAGGACAAGAAGGGGAGGCAGGAGGGGATCAGAGCTGTAGGAAAACAGACACAAACGGTGAAGGTTGGAGATGTTCTGAGATGCCAGGATAGAAGGGGATGAAGGTACACAGGTGATAGGAGGACAGAGAATGATGAACAGAAACCCAAGGAAAACAAAGGGAGGAGAGAGAGCAAAAAAGATAAAGTGAAGGAGAGGAGAGAAAGGACAAAGGAGGGCTGGGGGAAAAGTGCCAAACAAGCAGTAAGAAAGGACGATAAAAGACAGGCAAGTTAAGATATTGGTTCAAGAAGAAATGGAAAGAAGAGGGATGGAAGAGACTCATAGGAGAGACGGTAAAACGTAGATTAGACAGGGACAGAGAAATAAGGTGATGAACAGTCACAGGGCAGGACAGAGACAGAACAGGACTGAGAGGCCTGGCCAGATCCCAAGGTAGGCAGACTCAAGTCAGAGACAAGCAACCCAACACACTCGGGCTTTGTGTGGGGTCCAGCTCCAAGAGTGAGGCGAAACTAAGGACCAGAGCTCCGGAGAGAGAGAAGTAAGGACAGAGGGAGACTAAGATAACACAGATGGCAGCAGAACTGAGAGAAGCCAAGAGGCAACAACAAAGACACCAAGAGGAAGAGATAGAGAAAAGCTAACCTTGAGAAAGCAGAAAGCAGCAGGTGCAGACAGAAACAATGTTCAAGGCCACAAGAGAGAGAACCAGTAACAGGAACAAAAACTCCCAGATTTAAATAAATAAATACACACACACATAGATACACGTATGTATGTGCCTCTATGTTTGTGTTAGTACACCATGTTATTAGCAATGGATATCACTGAGAAGTAGTAGTATAGGAAATTTTTTTCTTTTTTTTTGAGACGGAGTCTCGCTCTGTCGCCCAGGCTGGAGTGCAGTGGCACAATCTTGGCTCATTGCAACTTCCGCCTCTCGGGTTCAAGCAATTCTCCTGTCTCAGCCTCCTGAGTAGCTGGGACTACAGGCACCCACCACCACGCCTGGCTAATTTTTGTATTTTTAGTGGAGACAGGGTTTCACCATATTTGCCAGGCTGGTCTCAAACTCCTGACCTCAGGTGATCCACCCGCCTTGGCCTCCCAAAGTGCTGGGATTAGAAGCACGAGCCACCGCGCCCAGCCAGAAATTTTTATTTTCTATTTTGTGCTTTTGTGTAATTTCCAAATTTCTGTTAATGAACACGTCTTTATATCAGAAAAGGAAAAACAATAGAAATTTAAATATATAAGTACAGCCGGGTGTGGTGGCTCACGCCTGTAATCCCAACACTTTGGTAGACCAAGGCGGGGTGGATTGCTTGAGGTCAGGAGTTTGAGACCAGCCTGGCCAACATGGCGAAACCTCATCTCTACTAAAATCACAAAAAATTAGCCAGGCTTGGTGGCAGGCACCTGTAATCCCAGCTACTTGGGAGGCTGAGGCAGGAGGATTGCTTGAACCCAGGAGGTGGAGGTTGCAGTGACCTGAGATCGCGCCACTGCAGTTCAGCCTGGGAGACAGAGCAAGACTCCGTCTCAAAAAAGAAGAGAAAAATAAATAATAAATAAGTACATAAACTTGTGCATAGCACCTATATATTGCTCTAGACCCTGTCCCTGCCCTGCCTCTTAGCCTTCCTTGTCTAGATTCCACCCTTTGGGATGGAGAAGGCAGGTCAAGAACTGGTATAAAAATGACCCCAAGATTTATGGGGAAGAGGAGGTAAGGGAAGTTTGCTGCCACATTTAGAAATCACTAATGAAATAGGAATTGAAAAAAAAAAATGGTAAAGTGGGGGCTCAGTGATGGCCACCTGAACCCTGAGTGGTCTAGGAGCATGTCATGCTTAAAGGCTGTGGGCTGGATACTTGGGTTCAGAGGGCTGGGTACTCACCGTCCAGTGACAGCCAGTCAAGTTGAGTACTAGGCAGAGACAGGAATCGGCGGGCTCGATACTCAAAGAGCACAGAAGCAGAAAGGGGCCCCTCCCGCCCTGCCACCTGCAAAGACACCAGCCCTACCTCATGGGCTGGAGAGGGTAGGATCAGCGAGAAGGGCTCTCTTTCCCTGGCTCCTTCTCTGGCTACCTGTGTCAGCCACAGACAATTATTCCATAGTTATTTCCCCTACTGCCCTGCTGTGGGCCAAGAGGCCCCTGGCTTCAGTGGCCTTGGCACTAACTGGGAAGGGAGTCCATTTGTTTGAGAACTTAATACGTACTATGGGCCAGAGATCCCTTGGATTCTAGACCCTGTAGTTGAAGATATTTGTTATTCAGCAAGAAGGTTTGGAAACTGAGGGTCAAGAGACTAGTTATGAACAATTTGATGTTGGAAAATCCTCTTGATCCCCGGATCAGAGTCTGGAAGTTATGACCCTGTTACTGAGATGGAGGAAAGGGGAGCTAGCCGCTCATGAACAGTGTCCAGTGGCCATAAGCATGGAACCAGCAGGCCCTGATCCTAAGACCAGGTGCTGAGACTTTTTCTCCCAGTCCCCAGATTCTCTGGTCTCATCCCCTTTCCTTACACACATGCTGGATGCTGCTGTAGAGACTGGGGGAGAACACACTCGTAGACAGCAAAGCTGCCAACCTGTCACTTTGGTGGTCCTTGAGGTCCCCTAGTAAGGCTGATTTTTGAGTGTAGGGTAAGGGCAAAGCTGGTGGCAAAAGGGCAGAGATGAACCTTGGCAATGAAGTCTAGACCAGTGCTGTCCAATAGAACATTTCTGCAGTGACAAGAATGTTCTATATCGTCACTATCCAATAGGGTAACACGAGCCATGTGTGGCTACTGAACACTTGAAACATGGTCAGTGAGACTGGGGAAGTGAATTTTAAGTATTCTTTAACTTTAATTAATAGGCACATGTGGCTAATGGCTACCATACTGGACAGCACAGTTCTAAAAGCCAATGTCCTTCAGTCCCAAGACTGGTTAGAGGAAACCCACATTTCTTCTTTCTCATTCCCCCTGGATTGGAGTTGGAGACTCTGGCTCTAAGCCAGAAAGCCTGGACAGACATTAGAAATCCCTTTGGTCAATGCCTAACCTTACAGGAGAGGAGGCCAAGGACCTCAGGAAGGATCAGACTCATCTGAGGTCACTGGTTAGCTAAGGAGTAGACTTCTTGGACCAGAACCTCGATCTTCTGACACCTAAGTCTGGGCTCTTCTGCCTGCTGGGAGAGCTTGGGGCTCAACCTCAGGACTGGATGAAGTCCTTGTGCTCTCAAAACAACCCATTTGTTCCCAGTGCTTTCTGGAAGCCTGGAGGTCCTGATCTGTCCTAACTGCCCACATGTCAGTCCCTCCCCCTACGGTTCCCAATCCTCATACCGGGACAGTAGCAGCGTAAGACACCAGGCTGGACAAGTGAGGCTGGCACTGCGATGTGATCAAAGACACAGGAGTAATGCTCGGCGGCTTCGGTCCAAGGACCTGTGATGAGCACCTTGACCCCACCCTGCAGACAGAAGTCAGAGACCATGTGACTGGAGTTGGGCGTTCATCCCCTCACTCATTCATTTATTCAGACCCTTACAGGGTATCTACTATATGGCAGGTCCTGTGCTAGAGTCTGGGGGTCCAGGGATAGACAGGACCCAGTGGGGTGAGGTCAGTGAGTCTATCTCTCCCCAACATTCCTGCCAAGTGGTTGCCTGGTCTCTACCTGAATCTGCCAGTAGCTGGGAATTCAGGGCCTCCCCCAAAGCTACCACAGAGCTGTCACCAGAAGGAAGTTCTGTTCTTGGGCTAATTCACCCCCACTGTACTTCCTCCTTTTCCTCTCAAAGGCAGCATAAAACAGAACTTCTCCACTGCTGAAGACAGTCTTTCAGCTACTCAAAGTCTGCAATCACATCCCTGATGTTTCTTTTCTTCTCCAGGCTGCACAGCCCCAATTCCCTACCCCTGAAAACAGTCAGGAAGGGAATGAGGTCCTAGGAGACTCCAGAAACCATGCTAACACATGGAAGGGAGAGGAACAGAAAAAAGGTTAAGTTGCTGAGGACTCTGGAAACAGGAAAGCAGCTTCACTCTACATAAAAAAAGAGATTGGCGGCTGGGCACGGTGGCTCACACCTGTAATCCCAGCACTTTGGGAGGCCGAGGCAGGCAATCACCTGAGGTCAGAAGTTTGAGACCATCCTGGCCAACATGGTGAAACCCCATCTCTACTAAAAATACAAAAATTAGCCGGGCGTGGTGGCGGTCACCTGTAATCCCAGCTACTCAGGAGGCTGAGGCAGGAGAATCGTTTGAACCCGGGAGGCGGAGGTTGCAGTGAGCCAAGATTGTGCCATTGCACTCCAGCCTGGGCAACAAGAGCGAAACTGTCTCAAAAAAAAAAAAAAAAAAAAAGAGAGAGATTAGGTAGAGGACTAAGAAGCCTAAGAAGCCATGAAAACTGAGGGAAACTAGGTCACAGACCACGGGGTAAGAGTTAATACAATTTGTTTTGGGGAGTCAGAAGACAAATAGGAGGGAGGAGGGAGGAGGTAAGCCTGAGTCTCACCTCTGGGTAGGACCACTCTGGGGAGAAGTCTGTGATGGTGCTAAGAGCAGGAGACAGCTGGGGGGTCGGAGCAGGGATGCTTGGAGCTTCGTCACTGATGAGTTCTCCCATAAGGTCTGGGAATGATGAAAGACTGAAGGGCTCCAGTTCACTGGCCCCAACAGGTCCTCCAAACAAGGCCTCTCCTCTTCCTACCCTGCTTGACGGCTCCAAGGGGGCAGGTGAGGGTGGGGGTGAGGGAGGGGGTGAAGGTATGGGTGGGGCAGCCCCGTGACCCTTGAGCTCCTCCCCACTGTCATCATCTTGGATGAAGAAGCAGTTTCCTCTTCTCCCACCTGCTACTGACTGTGGTGGGGGACCCCGAGCAGCTGCCTGGGGCTCCAGGGCAGCAGCAGGCTCTAGGGCAGAACAGGGGGTATGAGCGGCCTCTGCCTCGGGGAAGTCTGGGCTTACTCCCTGCCCCCCTCCATATGTCTGGCCCCTCTGGGGGCTGTTGAGAAAACGATCAGGGTCAAAGGCAGGACTGGGAGGAGCTGGTGGGGCAGAAGGCTCAGTGCCTACAACCACTGCCAAACTCATGGAAGGCCTAGGATCAGCCTGTGGAGCCAAGTGCCTGGTGGGCGTCAAGCCTCCAGCCCGCTGCTCCAGTCCTGTCAGGAGGAGGATAGCAGTGCCTCCTCTTGAAGAACCCCCTCGAGAAGTGGGAGGGCTAGGTCTGATTTCTAGGGGCTCTGCAAAACCTGATGAGGAGGAAGAAGAGGAAGAAGATGGGGAGGTGTGTGCCTTGGGGAGCTCTGGGGGAAGTGGGGCTATCAGTGGAGGAGGCTCTGGGGGGTGAGCGTGGGGGATAGAGGTCAGGGTTAAAGCTCGGGGCTCCACTTTGGGAGAGATGATGCGGTGTTTCGTGCTGCTGCATTTGTGGGTAAGGCTCCCAGAACCTGGAGTGGAGAGGAGTAGGAGGGAGAGGAGATAAGACACATCATTCCGCACCTTCTCTACCTTGAGGCCCTTAAAAGTATTTCCTGGGACGTCCCTATAAACCAGAGGTGTAATACTGATTGTAGCCACTGGGAGGCATCAGAAATGTCTGTTCTCTACCCCTACCCTTTATTCCCCCTCCCCCTCTCCATTTCCCCTCAAAACAAGCAGGACCAGAGGAACGCTCCAGAGAACTGAGGGCTTGGGAGAGTAGCTAAAAGCAAAAGTTAAAGGCATAGGAAAAGGACAAAAGAACAGAACCAAGGGGGTGCCAACTAGGAGGAAGGCTAAGGCTGGGTGTCACTGGTGGTGCTGAGGGGACAGGAATTGCTGAAGGTAGAAGACAGGAAGGGCAGAGGCTGCCATGACAGCTGAGTGCAAGGCTGATTCCGAGCCAGTGTGCACCCAGATGGGAACGTCTGTTCATCTGGCCCATCTTTCTGGGACATGCAAAAGACTTGCAAATCAGCATGCAAATCCCATCAAGATGGATATCCCCCTGGCTTGCGTAAGAGCAGTGTGGCTAGGTGGGAAGACAGCCAAAAGGTCAGGGAGTAACTTACCAAGCCCCCCACTGCAGAGACAGGCGTGGGTTCGGGGAGCAGGCTTGGTTGGGTGGGTGTCCAAAATCTGCTGCACCAGGTGTTCTACAGAGAACTCTTCTGTTCCATTCCCGCAGCTCCACTTGATGCCATGAACTAGAGAAGTTAGGGGGAAGTGCTGTGGGATCCCCACGAAACAGGCCCCAGAGTACCTTGATGGCTCCTCCAAGCACCTGACATGCTTCAAGACTTCTGGCCAGGTGAACAGAGGCCAGCAGCCTCAAGACTGCTCAGATATGTTGCTTTAGTCCTTTCTCCGTATTCTAATACCTGAGAACACACCGGGAATCCTAGCACCCTCCCAGCTTGGAGGGAGATGATCAGCCCTCAGGCTTTGGGTCCAGAACCATGGCCCCTCTGGGAGCCCTGTTTCTACTCTCCCCTTGGAGCTCTATCCCCACCCTGCTGCCTTACACATGGGCTTCAGCTGTCCCAACAACTCCTCCCGGGACCACTTCAGCCACTCTCGACGGTCGCTGCTGATGGAACAAAAGATGGGGCTGCAGCCCTTTCCACAGTCCTCCAGGGCTGGGACGTTCAGGTAGTGCACAAGGACGATGTCAGGGTTCTGAGAGTATAAGGGGACACACAGAGCCATGGGGTCCTGAGGTCCAGGGGCTTGGCTTCCTAATCCTCACTTTCTTCCTGGGCACCCTCCTAACCTCGCCCCCAATTTCTGACTCTCTCCATCCCCAAGCCCCTTTCTCTTCTTCCCAGGCTCCTTTCCTCACTCAGAACTCAGCCATCCTTTCACTTCCTTCTTTCAGACCCGTGTCCCTCAAAGAGTCAGGAAGAGGGTGGCTCCCTGGGCTCTTCCGTCCTTACCTGGAGCAGCCAGTAGCAGCGCCGATGGAATGTGGGGACGATGGAAGAGTGAACGTAGCAGCCATAGAGACACTGCCAGGAGACAGGCTGGGGTGGGGGGAGGGCTAGTCTGCTCCCCAACTCTTCCTCTGTTCAGTCCCTTTGCAGGAATCCCAATCTTTCCACCAGTTCCTCTTCAACCCTTCCCCCACCCTCGCCCCCACCTATTCCCCACCCCTTTTGAATCCCAGCCACCCTGAGTCATAGATGAGCAGTGGGGCTGGGGCCTTATAGTGAGGACCAGATTTGAGATACGGGACTATCTAGAAACCAGAGGGCAGAGCAAGAATGCATCTGAGATGAGGGGCAATGATTTGGGGAAGAGAAACCTGTGCTGAGAGCATCATTGCTGGGATCCCTGAGGGAAACACAAGAGCAGTGAGGGGCCTGGGCATCAGTGTTCTGGAAGGGAGGCATGGCCTACGGCCTGGATAGTTGAGTCACGGAGGGAAATGGGAAGTGGAGAGTGGCCAAAGCAATGTCAGCCGACCCAAAGTGAGTGAGAAGGGAAGAGTAACTGGGAGGGGACTGAGGTGGACAATGCCACCAAGCCCAGGTCGGGCTAGAGCCCAGCTAAGGGTGGAGGAGGGCAGGCTCGGGAAGATGAGCTGAATATCTGACTCTCTTACCTCCATGCCCTGGACCTTCAGCTTCATGTGGTCCTCTCGGGTGGTCTTCCCATCCTTCCGCTTCTTCCAGAGGTAACCATCCTTCCGATATTTCACCTTCTTGCGATTGTAGAGGATGATGGAGCCATTCTGAGGCCTGGGAAGGGAAGGGTTGCCCTGGAGTTCTGTGAACAGAACCCAGGACCCCTGCCACTCCCCCATGTTCTCAAACTTTCTCACCTTGTCTTTGGGGCACAAGACAGCCACTCATCATGCTTCTCAAAGGTGATCAGGTAGGATGCAATCTCCTGTAGGAGAGGAGGCACTCAGCTGGGCATCTCCTTCACAGAGAGTCTCAGCCTGGCCTCTTGGTCATCCTGTCAGTGTCTCACTCTCTGCTGAGTTCTGGCAGCTAGTGGAGGATGCTTCTAGGTATCTGGACCCAGCAAGACCCACTGCCCTCCTAAGAACCCTTCTTTTGTCCTAAGACAAAAGTCTAACATTTTTTTGTGAATTATTTTACTCTCCAAAAATCTCATTCCTGTGCCCCTTTTTTTTTCTTTTGAGATGGAGTTTCACTCTTGTTGCCCAGGCTGGAGTGCAATGGCGCGATCTCAGCTCACTGCAACCTCTGCCTCCCGGGTTCAAGCAATTCTCCTGCCTCAGCCTCCCGGGTAGCTGGGATTACAGGCATGCGCCACCATGCCCGGGTAATTTTGTATTTTTTTTAGTAGAGACAGGATTTCACCATGTTGGTAAGGCTGGTCTCGAACTCCTGACCTCAGGTGATCCACCCGCCTTGGCCTCCCAAAGTGCTGGGATTACAGGCGTGAGCCACCGTGCCCAGACTTTTTTTTTTTTCTTTTGAGGCAGAATCTTACTCTGTCACCCAGGCTGGAGTGCAATGGCATGATCTCAGCTCACTGCAACCTCCGCCCCCCAGGATCAAGCAATTCTCTTACCTCAGCCTCCAGAGTAGCTGCGATTACAGGCACTTGCCACCGTGCCCAGCTAATTTTTGTATTTTTAGTAGAAACGGGGTTTCACCATGTTGGCCATGCTGGTCTTGAACTCCTGACCTCTGGTGATCCGCCTACCTCAGCCTCTCAAAGTGCTGGGATTACAGGCATGAGCCACCACTCCTGGCCTCTGTGCCCCTTCCTGACTCAAAAAATTTCAGTGGTTTGACACTGCCAGGAATTTCAGATTATTTATTTATTTATTTATTTTTTTGAGACAGAGTCTCGCTCTGTCACCCAGGCTGGAGTGCAGTGGCGCCATCTCGGCTCACTGCAAGCTCTTCCTCCTGGGTTCATGCCATTCTCCTGCCTCAGCCTCCTGAGTAGCTGGGACTACAGGCGCCCACGACCACGCCCGGCTAATTTTTTGTATTTTTAGTAGAGACGGGGTTTCACTGTGTTAGCTAGGATGGTCTTGATCTCCCGACCTCGTGATCCACCCGCCTCAGCCTCCCAAAGTGCTGGGATTACAGGCGTGAGCCACTGTGCCTGGCAGGAGTTTCAGATTCTTTAGCCTGACTCCAAGGTTCTTCCCAACAAGGGATCAAACTTTCACTGTTCCCACTATTTACCCATATTGCTCCTACAATTCCTGCCAGATGGATCCATTGATTCCTTCCTGAACATGCTTTGAATAGTTACCTCCTGCATGTTAGTGCCCTACAAGGCAGGTACCATGTGCACACCTCTCCATATCTGGAAATCATAGCCATTCTATAAACCAAACCCCTTTTCAGATGCTCCATGAAGCCCTGCTGACCACACTGGACCTTCCTAAACGCTCTATAGCACTTACAACAATCACACATACACACATACACGCATCGTTTTACTGACAGTCCTCTTCTGACATCAAATTGATAAATATCAACAACCAACTACATACAAGGCAGTAAGTATGCAGAATACAGAAAATGTGTAACACAAGGACTGTGCCTCCTCCAGAAAGAGCCAGTATCAGTGGTGGTTAATAACAAAGGTTCCAGCCGGGCGTGGTGGCTCATGCCTGTAATCCTAGCACTGTAGGAGGCCGAGATGGGCGGATCACTAGGTCTAGAGTTCGAGACCAGCCTGGCCAACATAGTGAAACCCCATCTCTACTAAAAATACAAAAATTAGCCAGGTGTGGTGGCGTGCCTGTAGTCCCAGCTACTCCGGAGGCTGAGGCAGGAGAATGGCGTAAACCTGGGAGGCAGAGCTTGCAGTGAGCCGAGATCGCGCCACTGCACTCCAGCCTGGGCGACAGAGCGAGACTCCATCTCAAAAAAAAAACAAACAAAAATTAGCCGGGCGTGGAGGCACATGCCTGTAATCCCAGCTACTTGGGAGGCTGAGGCAGGGGAATCACTTGAATCCAGGAGGCGGGGGTTGCAGTGAGCCAAGATCGCGCCATTGTACTCCAGCCTGGGCAACAAGAGCGAGACTCCGTCTCAAAAAAAAAGGCCCTGGAGTAAGTTAGATAAACTATGAGGTAAATCAGTTTCCTCATCAATAACATAGGAGCAATAACAGGGCTTGCTCTATAGAACCGTTAGAGGATTAAATGAGACAAGGCAGGCCAAATGTTTAGCACGGTGCCCAGTATGTAAGGAATACTTTACTGGCAGTAGCTTTTGTTTTTACCCAGGTGGCTATGCCACAGAAAAGAGGGCTCCTTCAAGATCCATGTCTTTTTGTTTTTGTTTTTGAGACGGAGTCTCACTCTGTCACCCAGGCTGGAGTGCAGTGGCGTGATCTCAGCTCACTGCAGCCTCCGCCTCCCTGGCTCAAGTAATTCTCCCGCCTCAGCCTCTCGAGTAGCTGGGATTACAGGCGTACATCACCACGCCTGGCTGCTTTTTGTATTTTTAGTAGAGACGGGGTTCCACCATGTTTGCCAGGCTGGTCTTGAACTCCTGACCTCAGATGATCCACCCGCCTCAGCCTCCCAAAGTGCTGGGATTACAGGCATGAGCCACCATGCCCGGCCAAGATCCATGTTTTTATACCTCTCCTAGGATCCCCAAAGAGCTTAGAATGGTGCTCTGCACTTAGGAGTGTTGACAGACACGGAAAGACCCCCCACTCACCCTCCTCCAGCCTACTAGGTCTTGCTGGGCCCCAACCCCCAGCCTCCCTAGAAAACCTCATTTGTATTCCACCGTAGCCTCTCTGGAGGCAGCAGCGGGCAGCGAGGAAGACACTCCAGCAGCTTCTTGGGGAGAAAGATCTTCAGGTGGTGGCTGTTTTCTAAAGGGAATTAGAAGGGAGGGTTTAGTGTGCTACCCTGGGGCATCCCTGTGATAGTCCAAGGGGAAAGGGCTGAAGGCAATACAGAGCACTGGGGAAAACTGAAACCTCACTAAGGAGAACAGAAAATCCAAGAATTAGAGGGCCACTAAAGCGTGGGGAGAACGAAAGGCTGTGGCCACATTGGGAACCTGGTTTGTGAACTTACCAGCAACCTCGGTGGTGTCCTTGGTATTCATGGTGAGGGCTCCAGGGGGCAAGGTCACCCCCGGCCTGAGGGGCCGGGGGGAGGGGGAGTCTGTGCTGGGAAGGGAGAGAACAAGGTCATGGCAGAAGCCCCCACATTAATCCAGGATGAGAAGTATGAGGTAGGGAGTGGGTATAGAACTGGGTCATAGTATCTGGGAAGGATGAGGAAAGGGAGGGAGGGGCTGACTGTGATGTGACAGTAGAAGAGAGAACAACACACAGTGCCCGGAGCCAATATGAGTGAGCAGACTGGACAGGAAGAGTGAGCAGGAAGAAATGGGTTGGGGTGGGGGAGCGGGGAGAAGACTGGCAGGGCTTGGGCCTCAGAGGCCCTAAACCTTGAGCTTTTGCACAGACTGGGGCTATGGTTGGGTCAGGTCCTGGGGGTTGGGACTCAGGCCATCCGGTCCTTGGAGGATGGTTTGGCAAGAGAGCCTGGATCCTGGGGGCAGGGCAGGAGATTCTACCTCCGGTAGAAGCTAGGCCTTTAGAAGACACGCCCTGAGTTCCTTCTCTGTTTGATTTTTCCAAGGGGAAGGGCAGATCTGATAACTGAACCTAACCTATTCTCTCCTCCAGGTTGGTTAGGACCTGATAGAATCTGGGCCAGACACCCAGATTCCCACCCTCAGGACAACCCACCCTCCGGCTGACAGCCCTCTCTACGTAGCTCCCTCTCCCCAAACGCCTCTGCCTCCCCTGGCCTCCAGGCCTAGCCTACCCCATCTACCGCTCTGGCTCCAGCCTGAGCCCCCCGCCCTCCTCGGGGAACAGATGGGAGCTGGCGGAGGCTCTCAGCACGGGCTCCGCCAGGTGTCCAGGATGGAGATGGGAGGAGGCCCGTCGGGCTCGGCTATGTGCAGTGAAGCTGGGGTTGGGGTAAGGACTCCGCCCCAGGGCGCAGGTGCGCAGTCCTGGCTAGGCAGCCTGCCAGGGTGCGGAGCGGGAGCGGGTCCTTGGGCTGCACTTGGGCGGCGCCGGATCGGACGCTTGGCACTCTGGGCGGCCCCCCGGCGGAGTGGTGGTCCCAGGAGAACCTCCGAGGTGGGAGGGTCCCGCCCGCATAGAGGGATGTTCTGGAGAAGCCGGGAGCAGAGTCCGCGGGCACGCGGTGGGCGAGGGACAGTGCAGGTGCCGGGTGCGGGGGTCTCCGGGACAGTCCCCGGCACGCGCTGGTCCGCCGTGGGGCCCTGCGGTGAGCGGCGCCCCCTGGCGCGGGGGAGGAGGACGGAAGCGGGAGGTGAGGGCGAACCGGGAAGAGGGACGGTGGTCCCTGGCGCGGCGCTCCGCGTCGGGACCTGGAGGAGCTGCGCCCTCTGGCGCGGGGGCGGAGAGGCGGGCGAGAGGCCCTGGCTCTTACCTCCCGGGGTCCCGCGGGTGACGGCGGCAGCGGCCATTCTACCCCACACCGACCCCCCCCAGCGCCGGCTGACAGCGGCGTCTAACGTCACTGCGCACGGGGCGGGGCCTCCCAATTAAGGGGATGAGGGTCAGGAAGGGAACCTGGGGTCAGCACACGTGGAGTTCTGGGTGGGGCGCTGGGCAGAGGGACTCGGCTTCTAGGGCTCTGAGCCAGGCCGAGGGACAGACTGCTGGGAAGTCCCCAAAAGGGCAGCAGCACTGAGGGGCAGGATTCCAGGGTCCTGGAGGCGGAAGCTCGGCCGACTGACTCCCAGTTCGAGAGAACGGGGCGGGGGCAGCCCACCAGTGCTGGAACCCGAGGGGCCGGGCGAGGAACGCTGGACTGGGAGCAGGACCCTTCTCGCCTCGGACAAGACTCCTTGTCTGGGGACCCAGCCCGACTTCATTGTAGCTGGGTCCTCGAGAAAGCGAAAGGAGCCCTCCTTCCCCATTGGCCTCTCCATCGCTGCATCCCAAGAAGAAAGACAACTCGGGCTCCACTTGCTTGCTTTTTAATAACAGAGCAGAGAGAATACAAGGCCAGGAGCGGGGCCTGGAGGAAAACAGGACTTGGGGTGCTCCTGTGAGAGCGGTGGGTTGAGATGGGAGCCCACGGGGGCTGTTAATGCCTAGTTCAGAGGATGGGAAAGGCAGTTGGAGAGACGAAGGAAGGGGAAACGCCTTCATGTCAGCAATGAGGGTGACTCTAGTGACGGAACTAGTCTTGGGTCCCTGGGGCACCACTAGCCTCTCGGCATCGGTGGTTTCTCCTTACTCTTCAGACGCTGCCAACTCCATCCCCCAGGGATTGTGAAGGGGGTTCCTTCTGGCTGTGACAGTGCTGAACGAGGCCAGAGAGTGCAGCTGCCTGGAGGCACAAGCCTCCTCCTGATCCAGGGGGCTCCAGGGAGACCAAAGCAGCTGTCAAGATGAGAGAAATTGAAAAAGAAAATGGAAAAGTAGGTCTTCTTTCCAGATTTCCTAGTACCCAAGCTTAGGTACCTCGAAGTCTCTGGTTCTCACCTACGTTATTTTTGTTTCTCTCAAATCCAGCTCTCCAGCCTGGCTCTCAGCTTCTGCATCTCCATGCAAGACCAGAGACCCACATCACTCCCTCACTCCACCCAGTTCCACTCCAACAATACCTGGGCCCTGCCAGGAGTGAGAAAACGGTCCTCTTCCTGTGGATAGGTTGCTCTCTCCTCTTCCAGATCAGGGTATTCATTGGTGCTGGGGAATCCACAGCCCTCTTCGCCAAGCACCACTGGCTCAGATGCAGCCCCAGAGCTGCCCCACTGGGCCTTCTTCAGTCTGTGGAGACTTTAGGCTGAGGAGAGAAGTGCCTGGAGGCCAGGCTTCCTGTCTCTCCATTCTTCACCTTTCTGTTCTGAAATACTTCCTGCTGGGACTCCAGGGAGTTGTCATTTGACCTTTAACCCTCCACTCCCAATTTTCTGCTCCCCTCAGACTGAAGCATATTGTCTAGGAACCCAGAGGTGACCCCAACCTCCCCACTGTCCTCCAGTTCTATGGTTTGCTTTCCTGTCTTCAGTGATCTAGTTTCCACTCCTTCCAGCTCATGTGGCTCATCCTCCTTACTGCAGTTCCCTCCTTCTTTCCATATTACAGAAATCTGTTTCAATCACACCAAAGCCCACAGCTTCCTTCCAAGCAACCTCCCCTCAAAGCTCCCCTCAAACCTCCCCTCAAAGCTGTCAACCCCTTCCTTAGCTCAAACTGTTCTGCCCCCAAATCCTGCATGACTCCCAGAACCCAGATGTCTCCCTTCCTTACTCGTTGATGATGCTCTGACGCCTTCTTAGGTCCTCCAGGTGGTAAGTGACAGCCCTCACCCGGGCGGGGACTCCCCCAAGGCCCTGCTGCTGCATTCCTTCCAAACATGGCCTCCTCTTCTTTCTTCTCCAAAGCATTTCAGGGGGTGGGAGCTGCTCAGGAGGATACAGACCAAGCTGGGAGCAACCAGTGGCTCTCTGTGCCAGAGAATGGGGAAAAAGAGCTAGAAAGAAGAACTGGCTCTCTCAAGGGAGCTTGGATTGAACTAGGTAGGGAGTCTGGGGTCTTGGGAAGACCCCTGTGATCTCGAAAACATGATGACTGATTCATAGAAAGGAAGGCCTGGTCAGTGCACTGGTTGGGGAATAACAGAGGGAAGCGGTAATAAGGAGAGCTTGGGACAGGACAGCAGTGGGTGCAATTTTAACAGAGAAATGTTAAACGGCAGAGGGTCTGTCTTACCAGCATGGGTGGAATGTGCTGCTCCTCCAGCCAAGTGGGGCTGTGAAGAACAAAAAGGGGGCTATAAGTGCAGAGGGGACATGTCCATCCATATTGCTTCTTTAATAATCTCTCCCGACCTCCTTTCTGTCATTAGGAGCTACAATGTCCACCAGCCAGTGGGAAATTAACCGCAGACTAGGGCCTATTGCTATATGGGTTTATGGTAGTTTAATCCAGTTAAGACCACATCCAGTTAGTTTCCATTTTCTCCTCTACTCACGTGGGCCTTTGATTAAGGTTCTTCCAGAAGACATCTCCATAACGCTGGGGCATGGGTCTGAGGCTCTGGGAAGGCAACCTTGGGGGTGGAGATCGGCTGACCACCCTGGAACACCTGAGGTGAGGACAAGGTAGGCTCGGGTCTGGCTCTTCCCTTACAGCAGTCTACTCATCCCAAGGATTCAGGGGCCATCTTTCCATGGGACTATAAAGCTGCCCAGGTTCCCTCGGGCCATGTCCTCTCTTAACCACTTTAGCTGAAGAAGGTGGTAAGGCCTCTGCTTTGAAAGGAAATTGAAGCTGGGTTGAGGGTGGAGATTGGCTATAGTTTGACCCTCAGATCTCACTGAGTTTAAGCTCTATATCGGGGATGTCCAATCTTTTGGCTTCCTGGGCCACATTGGAAGAAGAAAAATTGTCTTGGGCCACACATAAAGTACACTAACACTGGCCGGGCGTGGTGGCTCATGCCTGTAATCCCAGCACTTTGGGAGGCTGATGTGGGTGGATCACCTGAGGTCTGGAGTCCAAGACCAGCCTGGCCAACATGTTGAAACCCCGTCTCTACTAAAATCACAAAAAATTAGCCAGGCGTGGTGGCGGGCACCTGTAATCCCAGCTACTCGGGAGGCTGAGGCAGGAGAATCACTTGAACCCGGGAGGAGGAGGTTGCAGTGAGTCGAAATCGCGCCATTGCACTCCAGCTTGGGTGACAAGAGAGAAACTCCGTCTCAAAAAAAAAATTGCAAAAAATCTCATAATATTTTATTTTATTTATGTATTTATTGAGACCGTTTCACTCTTGTCACCCAGGCTGGAGTGCAATGGCACGATCTCGGCTCACTGCAACCTCCACCTCCCGGGTTCAAGTGATTCTCCTGCCTCAGCCTCCCGAGTAGCTGGGATTACAGGCACCCACTACCACGCCCGGCCAATTTTGTATTTTTAGTAGAGACGGGGTTTTGCCATGTTAGCCAGGCTGGTCTTGAACTCCTGACCTCAGGTGATCCACCCGCCTCGGCCTCCCAAAGTGCTGGGATTACAGGTGTGAGCCATTGTGCCCGGCCTAATCTCAACGTTTTAAGAAAGTTTATGAATTTGTGTTGGACTGCTTCAAAGCCATCCTAGGCCGCAGGTTGGACAAGCTTGCTTTATACCTCATAGTTAGAGAAGGTAATATTTAGCAAGCAGAGTTGTTAAAGAGGAAGGCCTTGGCTACTCAGGTTATATGACAGATAGGATTCATTTAGGTCAATGCAAGGATCCAGGGGAGAGAACCTCTGTTTACTTCATTTGTCTCCCCATCTCAAAAGGACTAATATCCTTGTAAATAGGAGTGTGCAGAGCTGTTTGAGAACACTGCTCGTCACTTCCAAACCCCACAGGCTGAATGATGATTGCCCTCCTGATCTCTAAGAAATGGAGTATGTTAGGGCTTAGGCCTGGGGCCCTTTATCTTCTCTGTCTTCATCTCTTCTTAGGTGATCTCACCCAGTACCATGCTGTCAATAAGCTGATGACTCCCAAATCTATATATCCAGCCCTGGTTCCTCTCTGGGCTCCACTCAACATCTCCTCCCCAACCTTCCTCCTCTCAATGAAAAGCACTCAAATGCCCAGTTGCTAAGACCAAAAACATGGTATGTCTCACTTTCCCTCACCTCCCACATCTAATCCATCAGCAGTTCCTGTCAGTTTTACATCTAAAATACTGTGTACCTGAATTTGACCACTCCTCATCATTCCCACTCCTACCACCATATATTTCAGGTCATCTTCCCCTTCCTGGACTGTTGCAATGGTCTCTTCCCCCCGTCTCTGCTTCCATTCCCATCCCCCAACAATATATTCTGCACAGAACTGTGAGAGATGATCATACGAAATAATATAAGGTTTGAGATGTACTTCAAAAGAATTTGAGAAATAGGGGGCTAGATGGGTATAGAGATGAAAAGATTATCCATACAATGATAATTATTGAAGCTGACTGAAAAGGGTACATGGGGTTCATGATACTATTTTCTCTACTGTGTTTGTTTGAAATTTTCCATAATAAAAAAAGTTGAAGGAAAAAAGGCTGGTCATGTCACTCTCTGCCTTAAAACTTTTCCACTGAATAAAATCCAAACCGTTTTTTTTCTTCTTCTTTTTTGAGACAGTCTCACTCTGTCACCCAGGCTGGAGTGCAGTGACCCAATTATAGCTCACTGCAGCCTCAAATTCCTGGGCTCAAGCAATCCTCCTGCCTCAGCCTCCTGAGTGCTGGGACTACAGGCGTGTGCCACCATGCCTGGCTAATTCTTTTAAATGTTTATCAGAGATGAGGTCTCACTATGTTGCCCAGGTTGGTCTCCAATTCCTGAGCTCAAGCAATCCTCCCACCTTGGCCTCCCAAAGTGCTGTAATTACAGGTGTGAGCCACCGCACCCGGCCTATACTTGTTTTATTTATTTTTTCTTTCTTCTTCCTCTCCTCCCCTCTCCTCCCTTCCCCTCCCCTCCCCTCTTTTCCTTTTCTTTCTTCCATTCTCTTTCTTTCTCTCCTTCTTTCCCTCCCTCCCTCCCTTCTTTCTTTTTAGAGACAGGGACTTGCTTTGTTGCCCAGGCTGGAGTGCAGTGCTGTAATCATAGCTCACTGCAGACTCAAACTCTTGGGCTCAAGCAATCCTCCCACCTTGGCCTCCCAAAGTCCTGGGGTTATAAGCATGAGCCACCACACTTAGCATAGTGTTTTGTTTTTGTTTTTTGAGATGGTGTTTCACTCTTGTCGCCCAGGCTGGAGTGCAATGGCACAGTCTCGGCTCACTGCACCCTCTGCCTCCCATGTTCAAGTGATTCTCCTGCCTCAGCCTCCTGAGTAGCAGGGATTATAGGCACCCGCCACCACACTCGGCTAATTTTTGTATTTTTAGTAGAGACGAGGTTTCACCATGTTGGCCAGGCTGGTCTTGAACCCCTGACCTAAGGTAATCCGCCCGCCTTGGCCTCCCAAAGTGCTCGGATTACAGGTGTGAGCCACCACGCCTGACCTTGTTTTTTTGTTTTTTGAGACGGAGTTTCACTCTTGTTGCCCGGGCTGGAGTGCAATGGCTCGGTCTCAGCTCACCACAACCTCTGCCTCCTGGGTTCAAGCGATTCTCCTGCCTCAGCCTCCCGAGTAGCTGGGATTACAGGCATGCGCCACCACACTTGGCTAATTTTGTATTTTTAGTAGAGATGGGGTTTCTCCATGTTGGTCAGGCTGGTCTCAAACTCCCAACCTCAGGTGATCTGCCCACCTCAGCCTTCCAAAGTGCTGAGATTATGGCATGAGCCATTGGGCCCGGCCTTTTTTTTTGAGACGGAGTCTCGCTTTGTCACTCAGGCTGGAGTGCAGTGGTGTGATCTCGGCTCATTGCAAGGTCCGCCTCCTGGGTTCACGCCATTCTCCTGCCTCAGCCTCCCGAGTAGCTGGGACTACAGGCGCCCGCCACCACACCCGGCTAATTTTTTTGTATTTTTAGTAGACACGAGTTTCACTTTGTTAGCCAGGATGGTCTTGATCTCCTGACCTCGTGATCCACCCACCTCGGCCTCCCAAAGTGCTGGGATTACAGGTGTGAGCCACCGTGCCTGGCCTTTTTTTTTTTTTTTTTTTTTTGAGATGGAGTCTTGTTCTGTCGCCCAGGCTGGAGTGCAGTGGCACAATCTTGGCTCACTGCAACCCCTGCCTCCTGGGTTCAAGCAATTCTCATGCCTCAGCCTCCCAAGTAGCTGGGATTACAGGCGAGCACCACCATGCCTGGCTAATTTTTGTATTTCTAGTAGAGATGGGGTTTTGTCATGTTGGCCAGGCTGGTCTCGAACTCCTGATCTCAGGTGATCCGCCTGCCTCGGCCTCCCAAAGTGCTGGGATTACAGGAGTGAGCCACCACACCTGGCCCACTGTTTTATGTTTTAAATAGTACCCATCATTAGCTGAAATTGTATTTGTTTGCACATTCTGTGTTCCCCTCTCTAGAATGTAAGCTCTACAAGAGCAGGACCCCTATCCTGCTAGTTGCTGAATCCCCAGTGCCTAATACAGTCCCTGGAACATTGTAGTGTTCAAACTATTTGTTGAATAAATTAATGAATCATCAATCCCCTGAGACCAGGCATTGCATTTCCCGTTCTTTATTTCCTAATCCTCTTAGGGAAGGACCCAGGCATGCAATATCCCCTCCATCCCATCCCCATGCTCCCCACCCAGTGGGAGGACTCACTTGGCAAAGGGGATGAGGTTGACTCCATCATCCTGCACCTGCATGACTGGACGGGGCTGGGTAGTTAGTCTCCTTTTTGGTGCTGGGAGGATAATGGAAAAGAAGTCATTCATTCGGGCTGGATGTGGTGGCTCACGCCTGTAATCCCAGTACTTTTGGAGGCCAAGGCGGGCGGATCATGAGGTCAGGAGTTCAAGACCAGCCTGGCCAATATAGTGAAACCCCATCTCTGCTAAAAATACAAACATTAGTCGGGTGTGGTGGCGCGCGCCTATAGTCCCAGCTACCCAGAAAGCTGAGGCAGAAGAATCGCTTGAACCTGGGAGGCGGAGGTTGCAGTGAGCCGAGATCGCGCCACTGCACTCCAGCCTGGGGGACAGAGCAAGACTCTGTCTCAAAAAAAAAAAAAAAAAAAAAAAAGGCATTCATTCATATAATGTCTGTAGGGATGAGGCCAGTAGCAGATCTAGAGAATGGAAAAAGAATGTATGGATGCTGAAAAAAGAGAGAGCTTAAAAGGTATTTGTAGCGGCTGGGCGCAGTGGCTTATGCCTGTAATCCCAGCCCTTTGGGAGGCCGAGGCAGGCAGATCACCTGAGGTTGGGAGTTCGAGACCAGTCTGACCAACATGGAGAAACCCCGTCTCTACTAAAAATACAAAATTAGCTGGGCATGGTGGCGCATGCCTGTAATCCCAGCTACTCCGGAGGCTGAGGCAGAAGAATCACTTGAACCAGGGAGTAGGAAGTTGCAGTGAGCTGAAATTGCACCACTGCACTCCAGACTGGCAACAGAGCAAGACTCTGTCTCAAAAAAAAAAAAAAGGTATTTGTAGTGCTGGACTGTTAATTGAACATTTAGGTTGAAGATAGTGAGCACAGGAAAAGTGGATGTGGTAAAAAGATAAAGGAGAAAGCAAATCTTCTGAAGCTAAATGTGCAGAATAAGTGAAATTTACAGATGGCAGTTAAGCGACAACTGGCAATATGGGACAATGAAATTGAAAAATGATGACAGTGGAGACTGGGTGGGGTGGAGGCATTTGGGGGTAAGAGAAGTGACAGAATTGAGGGTTCTCAATGAATCAACTATGAGTGGTTAGTGAAAGTTAATTGTGTGGGCCGGGTGCAGTGGCTCACACCTGTAATCCCAGCACTTTGCGGGGCTGGGGCAAGAGAATTGCCTGAGCTCAGGAGTTGGAGACCAGCCTGGGCAATACAGAGAGACGTCATCTCTATTTAAAAAAAAAAAGTTGGCTGGGTGTGGTGGCTCACGCCTGTAATCCCAGCACTTTGGGAGGCTGAGGCGGGTGGATCACCTGAGGTCGGGAGTTCGAGACCAGTCTGACCAACATGGAGAAACCCTGTCTCTACTAAAAAATACAAAAATTAGCCGGGCATGGTGGCACATGCCTGTAATCCCAGCTACTCAGGAGGCTGAGGCAGGAGAATTGCTTGAACCAGGGAGGCAGAGGTTGCGGTGAGTTGAGATCGCGCCATTGCACTCCAGTCTGTGCAACAAGAGTGAAACTCTGTCTCTAACAAAATAAAAAAAGAAATTAAAAAAAGTTAAGTGTGGACATAATGGTCAACTGGTGACAGGGAAGGAGGGGGCAGTTGGGAATGCCTGTGGATAGGGAGGTCAGTTGCATATAGGGACAGCCAAAGATGACCTGAAGGCCAGTTGGGGTGGGGAGAAAGGGCAGTTAAGGCTGGGCACACTGGCTCACGCCTGTAATCCCAGCAATTTGGGAGGCGGAAGTGGGTGGATTGCTCGAGCCCAGGAGTTTGAGACCAGCCTGGGCAACATGGCGAAACCCCCTCTTTACCAAAATACGAAAAAGTTTAGCCAGGTGTGGTGGTGTGCGCTTGTACCCGGAAGGCTGAGGTGGGAGTGTCATCTGAGCCCGGGAGGTCAAGGCTGCAGTGAGGTAAGATCGCACCACTGCACTGCACTCCAGCCTAGGCGTCAGAGTGAGACCCTGTTTCTAAGAAGAAAAAAAAAAAAGCCAGGCGCGGTGGCTCAAGACTGTAATCCCAGCACTTTGGGAGGCTGAGGTGGGCGGATCACTTGAGGTCAGGAGTTCGAGACCAGCCTGGCCAACACAGCGAAACCCAGTCTCTACTAAAAATACAAAAATTAGCCGGGTGTGGTGGCAGGCATCTGTAATCCCAGCTATTCGGGAGGCTGAGGCAGGAGAATCGCTTGAACCCAGGAGGCGGAGGTTGCCGTGAGCCGAGGTCAGCCTGGGCAACAGAGCAAGACTCCGTCTCAAAAAAAAAAAAAAAAAAAAAAAAAGAATACTAGATAAGTTAGGAGAGAGTGCACATAGGCTCCCGAAGGACAGAAGCAGCCAGCTGGAACTGTAGAGGTGAACTAGTATTTATCCAAGGGAACTAGGGATGGGCTGGGAAAGCAGGTGAGGTCAAAAGCGGAGAGAAGTATACCGTGCGGAAGCGGCAGATGGGGCTAGTTGGAGTTGGGCTGAAAGGGCCTAAAGTGGGGTCTAAAGGGGATGTCCTGACTCGGAGGGGGGTCAGCAGAACGCGAGGGAGCAGCGGGAGCTGCGGGGCATTCGGGCCTCAGATAGTTGGGTCCAAGCGGGTGACCTAGATCCAAGGGCAGGATGGAGCTGAAGGAAGCCAGGAAGGATCCTCCACAGTTGACTTCGGGGTAGCCACGGCCTGCGCCTGCGAGGGTGGATGAGGACCCGAGGGTCCGGCTGGGGCTGAGGGGCTGCCTGGAGCCCCGCTGGAGGGAAGCGCCGGGCCGGAGGGCGCGGCCTGCGCCTGAAAGGGCGACGGGGACCCTCGACAGGTGGACCGGGCGTGGCCGGACCTTCCGGGCAGCCCCGCCCGAGGGCACGACTGGGGGCTGCTTCCCTCGAGAGGGGCCCTGAGGTGGTGGGCCCAGGCTGAAGGGCAGGCTGGGGCCTGAGGGACGCCCCGGGTCTGAGAGGGCAGCTCCGGCCTTAGGCGGCACCCGGGCCTGAAGGGGTTGTTTGGGCCTCAGGCGGCGTCCAGGGCGGCCGAACTTGAGGGCCAGGCGGGGACAGAGCGCCCGAGTAGCCGCGCCACGGCCGGCCGCATTTGGCCCCAGCACCTGAAGCAGCTGCGCGGCGAATTCTAGAACTCGGCGGGGCGGGGAGGAGAGAGACGGCGATTCGAGCCGCGGGAGGAGCCGGCGGGCGGTGCTCGTCTGAGGGCGGGGCCTGAGCGGAGCCACCTTCTGGGCGGGCCTCGGCAGGAGGCTCCGCCCCCTGGACGCGCCTCCAACGGCGGCGACGGGAACTGGGCCGGGGCCTGGGTGCCCCCGCGGGTCAGCCCCCGACGTTTCCCTGTTCTTCAGGCGTCTGCAACCCTCCTGGGTTGCGGCGTCTGCTCGCCCTTCTGCGTCCGCAGCTCGGTCCCCACGTTCCCGCTCGCTGGGCCCCACAGGCCAGGAGCGTTGCCCCTTTAACAAGAGTAGCCCGGGTCGCTCCCGGCTCCTTCCCGGGACCGCGCGTACCCGCCCCTCCGCGCGCGCTCGCGCGTCCCCCGCCCCTCGCTCCCGCCCCAGCTCGCGCTGCCCGGGCGGGCGCCGGCCGCTGGCGCCGCTACTGCTGCCGCCCCCGGGGCGCGAGTCCGCCGCCCGCCGCCCGGGCACCCGGCGAGGGGCGGGGGCAGCTCCGAACCGGCCCCAGATCCTTCCCGCTTCCGCCTCACGCTTCCCGGAAAGCTTGTCCCTCTCCGCCGAGCTGCTCCGGGAGCCCCGCCGCGCCGAGGTGAGGGCTGGGGAAGGGGGAGGGAAGGGACGCCCGCGGAGGAATGTGCCGGGTTGGGGGGCGGGGAGCCGGGGTCCGGCGGCGCGATCTAGGCTCAAGAGTCGGGATCATGTGCTGTTTGTTCCGCGGAGGCGCAGAGAGGTGCCAGGCCCGGGCGGCCGCCGGCTGGCTGGACAGGAGGACGGGTCCGCATGGCCGCCCTGAGAGGCCGGGCGGGGACCTGTGTGAGAACCGCCGGGTGGGCAAGGTGCAGGTGGCCCAAGACCCCCTTTCGGGCCGGTCGGCCCCACCCCAGCCGCCCAGTATCCTCCTTGTACCCCACGGCTCCTTCACAGCTGCACCGGCCGACCCCTGTCCCTACCTCTATTCCCTTACCCCGCTGGCCCCCAGCCGTGCCACCCCATCCCTGTCCCATTAGCTGCAGCAACGGCGTCACCATCGCTTGTCCCCACCAGTGTCCTTCCCTCCCCTGGTCAGGGTCTAGGGGGTCAGGGCTGTTCTTCCTGAGCCAGCTTCTGTGATTCCAGCTACTCCCTTCCTGTCCTGGGACAGACCAGCCCCTCACCCTCCCATGCTCTGCCCAGGAAGACTGGTGAGGGGAGGCCCAGCGTGACAGGAGTTTGGGGTCCACTGGGGCCACAGGAGGGGGCTCCGCATCCCTTATCCTTCGTGGTCCTCCTCCCTGTTGTCCGTGGGCGTGGGCTGCTCAGCCTCTCCTCCCAGGGTGTGGGCACCCGATCACCCACATTCCTGGGCTCCAGCCTGGCACCTTCCCCAGGGCAGTGGACGCCATAGCACTAGCCCCAGGTTGGGGCTGGCACCAGCCAGCCGGCTTCCTTTTCTTTCTCCCTTTTAGGGAGGCCCCAGGGACCCTCTACCCTCAAACACAGGTATTTCTGGGCGCCCCAAGGGTGGAGCCCTGAGGGTTGGTCTGATGGCTACAGGATGACCCCACCCTCCCCTGCTCATTGTCCCGGATCCTGAGGAGGAAGTGCTGGGGGCTGGGCAAGGGGCTTAGAGCCCACACAGCTGGCCCTGTGGATCCCAGTCCTGGGCCCTACCTACAGTCCTTGGACTTTGCCCATCTGCACTACTGGCCTGGTGCATGGAGGTTGTGGGCCTCAGGTGGAAACTAGATTCTCCCTTGCCGACACTGTGGGGGAATTTGAGGACAGGTTTTGCATTTGCAGTTTCCTCTCTGGTCTCTCTTCTGGGCTCCCAGTTTGTGCTTTGGCGCCGGAGTTCCCCACCCTGTCTCTTTAACACCGTGTGTTTGCTGTGCTGTGTCTCTTCCTCCTTTCCTCTCCCATTCTTTCCTTCATAGCATGACCTCAGGCTTGCCTTTTGTCTTATTTCTCTAATTTTCTTGGTGTCTGTGACTCTCTGCCCCTCCTCTCTCTCTTCCCACCCCCCTCACGTCTCTGCCCATGTGCCCCTCTCTCTGAATTGCCCTCTGTCCAGCCTCTTTCTCTCTCTGTCCTCTATCTGAACGTTCAGTACATTTGCGAGTGACAAGGAATAAAAATATCACCGTCCCTGCCCTTGGATTCACATTGCATTCAGCCACTCTAGAGGGGCAGCTGTCCGTACTTTTCCTGCTATTCCCCCCGTAACCTTGGCCCTCCAACCTGGGAACCCCAGACGGGTCTCTGGAACCACAGGTGCCTTCTAACAACTCTTCCCCCGCAATCAGGGTATCTCCCAGAGCCCCAGCTGGTGTGGCCAGGCCCCAGGAGTAGGATGGGGCTCCCCCTACGAGGGCCGGTGGCAGCCAGAACTGATACAGCCCCCCTGGTCTGGGGCCAGGACGCCAGGTAACTGGGGGAGACCGCCCAGGTTCCTGCAAGCTGGAATATGGCTGGGGAGAGAGGCAGAAATACCTTTGGGAGTCTCTCAAGACAGTGACATTTGGGAGGAAAGCCAAGGGAATAAGAGCTGGGTCCTTGAGAGGCTGGGTGGCTCTGGGGGAGATGTGAAGAGACTGGTTCCGGGAAGAAGCTGGGAGGCAATGTCTGGGTCCCTGCAGTGGTTCTGACCCCACCACTCCTTTCTCTGTCCTCCAGCTGAGGAGGGCAGGAGTGTCTGGAGCTATGGCTGGTGCCTCGGTGAAAGTGGCAGTGAGGGTTCGGCCCTTTAACGCCCGTGAGACCAGCCAGGATGCCAAGTGTGTGGTCAGCATGCAGGGCAACACCACCTGTGAGTGAGTCCCCGGGGCCTGGCTGGGCACAGGCAGGGAAGGCCGGGCCCACCACACAGGCCAGTCCCGCTGGGCCAAACTAAGAGGAGGGTAATGCTGGGCACAGAGCAGGTGCTAGTCGTAAGGGCGGGGGCTGGGGCAGGCTGGCCTTTCCCGTGTTCCCAGTCCCTGGGAGGGGGAATGTTGGCCTGGAGCCCTCCATTGCCCAATCCAGGGAGGCAGCTCAGTGGGGGCGGGTCCTAGGAAGCCAAAATTAGCTTTGGTGGCTGGAGGGGGTGGGGAATGTTAAAGGGGAGAGAAGAGTCAGGACAGTGGTGAGGAGTGGGATGCTTGGATTCCAGGGGCTGGTTGGGGTATGGGCAGGGACTGGGAATACCTGACCTTGACTTTCCTTCCTTTACCCTCTCCTGCCCCTCAGCCATCATCAATCCTAAACAGAGCAAGGATGCCCCCAAAAGCTTCACCTTTGACTACTCCTACTGGTCACACACTTCGGTGGGTTGTTGGGCTGGGGGAAGAGCAAGGCAGTGAGAGACAGAGGATTTAGGTCCTGGGGAGGGGACATGTTAAGAAATAGGACCCCCAGGGGATTAGTCAGGGTGAATTGGGAGGATGATCCTGGGTGGGGGTGGTAGGACCCTTAGGCTGTGATTGAGGCCTCGACAGGAAGGCGGAATCCCTTGGGGTAATTAGGACTAGCAGGGGCTGGATAGGATCCTTGGGGTGGTAAGGACAATGATGAGGGTGGGAGGGCACACAGGACATTTGGGGAATCGTCAGTGATGGAAGCAAGACTCTTGGGACAGAGACACAAAGGATAAAGACATCCAGGGTTACTCTGTTTTTCTCTGCCCCCACTTTCTCCTAGACGGAGGACCCCCAGTTTGCATCTCAGCAGCAAGTGTATCGGGACATTGGAGAAGAGATGCTGCTCCACGCCTTTGAAGGCTACAACGTGTGCATCTTTGCCTATGGGCAGACCGGGGCTGGGAAATCCTATACCATGATGGGGCGACAGGAGCCAGGGCAGCAGGGCATCGTGCCCCAGGTACGCCTAGGACCTGGTGGGGCAGCCAGGGCAGGAGCATCTTTAGCTGCCCTCTGAGGAAGGAAGGACTAGGGTCGGAGGATTATGGAACAGAGACCTGGCTCTGAGGCCATTGGTGATGGGAGATAGAGGTTGACTGCAAGCTGGACAACCCTCTGGGGTGGGAGGGTCTTCGCCCCTATCAGAGGCAACGAGCCTCAGTGAGTAGAGCAGGGCTTTGGCATCAGTGAGCCTTGGGTTCGAGCGCCAGTTTTACGACTTACTACTGTTTTACTTGGTTTCATAATAATTTGTGAGTATAGTTCTCCTGCAGGCTTGTGTACCACCAGCAGAGTGTTAACTGTAGAAACGCCAATTGGGATAACGGAGTTAACCATAATTGTCCCTGGCTGTCCAGCATAGCAACCTGGCACACGGGCTTGGGAGTCAGAACTCCTGGGGTTTGCACCCTGGCTGGCTGAACGGTAGCCTGTGATCTTGGGCAAGTGGGGACCTCTCTGAGGTTGTTTTCCCATCTGTGAAATGGGAATAACCCCTCCCTCAAGGCTGTAGCAAGGGTTAAATGGGGTCACTTGGGACTGGGCCTGGCCTGTGGCTGGACACTTTAGGTGTGCCCTGAACAGGAGCTTCTCTGTATTTCCCTGTGTCCCCCTCCAGCTCTGTGAGGACCTCTTCTCTCGCGTTAGTGAGAACCAGAGTGCTCAGCTATCCTACTCTGTGGAGGTAAGCCCGGGTCTTGGTGGCAGGGCTGAGAGGGGTCCAGACTGCTGAGGGCTGTCGCTGGAATCAGACAGCCTGGGATCTAATCCTGGCTCTGCTGGTTACTGACTGTGACTTTGGGGCAGTGATTCTGTCCTTCAGCTTCGTATGTTCATCTGGGAGACGCTGTTGATCGGACACACCTCCTGGCTTGTTGGGCAGGTCGCTGAGCTAGCATCTGCAGAATGCTTCGCACTGTGTATTAGCTGCAGTCACCTGGATCGTGTCCAGTGGAGTCAGATTAAGTTGCGTTGTCATTGTTTTTGCTAGTTTTGTTACTTCTCATTTGCTTCTCCCACTCAGGTGAGCTATATGGAGATCTACTGTGAGCGGGTACGAGACCTCTTGAACCCCAAGAGTCGGGGTTCTCTGCGGGTCCGGGAGCACCCCATCCTGGGCCCGTACGTGCAGGACCTGTCCAAATTGGCTGTGACCTCCTACGCAGACATTGCTGACCTCATGGACTGTGGAAATAAAGCACGGTGAGGCAGGCTGATGGAGCAGAGGGCAAGGGGGCCAGGGTTGGGAAGGTGAGAGGCAGGATCCAGTGACTGCTTTCTTTACCCTAAGGACTGTGGCTGCCACCAACATGAATGAGACCAGCAGCCGTTCCCATGCCGTCTTTACCATCGTCTTCACACAGCGCTGCCATGACCAGCTCACGGGGCTGGACTCGGAGAAGGTGGGATCGCCCCCCCCCCCACTCCCCCACCGGATGCAACCTCCCCTGGCAACAGGGACAGTGACATGGTAGAAGGGTCTTGGGCCCTCCCTGCCCATGCTGGGTTGAGTGCCTCCTCAGGACTACCATGACCGCGCCCCACCCCTACCCTGTTTTTCCGTCAGATCAGTCTGTCCCCCTCTACTGTTTGCTTGTCTTTTTTTTTTTTTTTTAAGACAGAGTCTTGCTCTGTTACCCAGGTTGGAGTACAGTGGTGCAGTGGTGCGATGTCAGCTCACTGTAACCTCCACCTCCCGGGTTCAAGTGATTCTCCTGCCTCAGCCTCCCGAGTACCTGGGATTACAGGCATGCGCCACCAGGCCCAGCTAATTTTTTTGTATTTTTAGTAGAGACGAGGTTTCGCCATGTTGGCCAGGCTGGTCTTGAACTCCTGACCTCAGGTGATCCAGCCGCCTCAGCCTCCCAAAGTGCTGGGATTACAGATGTGAGCCACCACACCCGGCTGTTCTTACGAGACCCAGGACAGGGCTTGGATCCCCTGTGTGTCCCTTGTCCATGCCTGCGGTGGGCCTGTAGCTATTTGTAATTGAGTGAGTAACCACCGTCTCACTGTTGTCACGTATTCTGTTTCCCCCGGCCTCCTCCCTCGCCTCCTCCTGGCTCTCTCTAGCCCTTGCCAGCTGCCCACATTCCTGCTGGGTGCTTCCCTGATTTCCCTGCCCCGTCCCCCACCCGCACCTTATCTCCTGCCTGTTTCCTCTGACCCCAGGTCAGTAAGATCAGTTTGGTGGACCTTGCTGGGAGTGAGCGAGCCGACTCCTCAGGGGCCCGGGGCATGCGCCTGAAGGTGAGGGGCCTTCAGAGGGTGGTTTGTTGTGGGGCAGTGTTGTGGGCTGTATGTGGAGGTCTCCAGTCGGAACCTGAGACTCTCACTGGGGAGGTAGGAAGCGGAAGTGGATCACATTGGGAGAAGAGGGTCTCATCCCCACATTCCTCATCCTTTTCCAGGAAGGAGCCAACATCAATAAGTCCCTGACTACACTAGGGAAAGTGATCTCGGCCCTTGCAGATATGGTGAGACCTGGGTGTTGGAAAGAAGGGGCTTGGGAAAGGGGAGTGACCCACCCTAACCTCCTTCCTCCTTTTATCCCCCAGCAATCAAAGAAGCGAAAGTCGGATTTTATCCCCTACAGGGACTCTGTGCTCACCTGGCTGCTCAAGGAAAATTTGGGTGAGGGCCTCTTCCTCTTTCTCTGCCGACCCTGACACATCCCACAAACTCTTTTGATACATCTGACAAATCCCCTTGCTATGCCGAGAATCCCAAATCCCGTTGTCTTACTTCTCCCCCTGACCCTTCAAAGGGAACATCCTTTGAAGATTTCCTGATGCTGAGAACAAGGCCATACCCTCCCGTCAAGCCAAGGGCCTCACTGACCTGGCTACTCATGACCCCTCCCTGATCCCTGATCTCACACCCACTGCTGCACTGCTGACTTCATCCCCCTTCCATGGTTCTGTGACTGTCCTGCAGATATATCTCCCTGACCTCATCCCCTCCCATAACCAGATGTCATGGTTAGCTCCACCCCGCTAGACTCCCCTACCTCAGACCATGACCCTGTAAGACCTCTGCCTGGGCAGTGGGCCCCAGCCCTGTGACCCGGTCTGACTTTGCTTAGCCCCTCCCTCAGCTGAAGCTTTTCCATGCACTCCATTCACAGGGGGGAACTCACGCACAGCCATGATTGCAGCCCTGAGCCCTGCTGACATCAATTACGAGGAGACTCTCAGCACCCTCAGGTGAGGCTTTTGGCTCTAGCAGGGATGGGGCAGCATAGGAAGAGTGCCAGGAGTTCAGAGGCGAGTTGCTCAGGACCCTGCTCGTGAGACGGGGGAGATGCCGGAGCCTTGCCACAATATCTTGAGACCTGGGAGAGGGGGAAGGAGAAACAGCAGACCAAGGGTCCCCTGCCCCCAGGCCTCACCGACCCTGCTCCTCTGTCACCCAGGTATGCTGACCGCACCAAGCAAATCCGCTGCAATGCCATCATCAACGAGGACCCTAATGCCCGGCTGATTAGAGAGCTGCAGGAGGAAGTAGCCCGGCTGCGGGAACTGCTGATGGCTCAGGGACTGTCAGCCTCTGCTCTGGAAGGTCGAGGTTCCAGGGAGGGGCAGCTCAGGGATGCCCCTTGGCCCACCCCATCCCTCCTCACTTGCCTTTGCCCAGTCCTGGAGCCAGGGAGGGACCACACACTATGAAACCTTTCATGTGCTCAGTGACGTGGACACAGATGTGGAGAGGGAACGTATGTCTTCAGATGTTACAGAGCTGGGAGGGACTAATTCTCTAGGAGAGGATGAGGATCCAGAAGGACCTGTCAGGCTCCTGGAAGTAATGAAATGACTGTTACAGGAAAAAATGGCAATATATGCTTACAGGTCAAACAGTAAATTGTTAAGAGGCTAGGCTACTGGGTGACTTTCTTGACAGAAGTTCTTGCAAAACGTCAGAGTTGAAGTGGACCATAGCCTAACAGATCTCAGTGGAGTGCTTTCTGGTATGTCATGCTCAGCCTCACTGATGGAAATAGTGTCCAAATCAGAGGATGTGTAATCCATGTTGACGGTCAGGAATGGACCCTGCATTCAGTCTTGAGATCATCCCATTGAGGATAGTTAGGGTGCTGAAGGGCACAGTGTGGGGAGTATGAGTGTTCTTGGAAAGAGAAGGATAAGGTAGCTAGTGATGTTTGCCTTCCAACATTTGAGGGATTTTCTTGCAGAAGAGAAAGCAGTAAGGACTTTTTATCCCAGAGGGCAGAACTAGAAACACTAGCACACATGACGTGGGACCAGTTTCAGCTCAGCACAGCTAAGAATTCTTTTTTTTTTTTTTTGAGATGGAGTCTTGCTCTGTCGCTAGGCTGGAGTGCAGTGGCTCCATCTTGGCTCACTGCAACCTCCGCCTTCTGGGTTCAAGAGATTCTCCTGCCTCAGCCTCCCGAATAACTGGGATTACAGGCGCCCACCACCACACCTGGCTAATTTTTGTATTTTTAGTAGAGACGGGGGTTTTAGCCTGGCACAGTGGCTCACGCCTGTAATCCCAGCATTTGGGGAGGCCAAGGCAGGCAGGTCACCTGAGTTCAGGAGTTCGAGACCAGCCTGACCAACATGGTGAAACCCCGTCTCTACTAAAAATACAAAAATTAGCTAGGTGTGGTGGCACGCACCTGTAATCCCAGCTACTCGGGAGACTGAGGCAGGAGAATCACTTGAACCCAGGAGGTGGAGGTTGCGGTGAGCCAAGATGGAGCCATTGCACTCCAGCCTAGCGACAGAGCAAGACTCCGTCTCAGAAAAAAAAGTTCGACACAGAGGTTTCTAGACTGGCCAGGCTGGTCTTGAACTCCTGACCTAAGGTGATGCTCCCACCTTGGCCTCCCAAAGTGCTGGGATTATAGGTATGAGCCACTGTGTCCGGCCCAGCTAAGAATTTTCTCTTTTTGAGACAGTCACGCTCTGTCACCCAGGCTGGAGTGCAATGGCGTGGTCTCGGCTCACTGCAACCTCTACCTCCTGGGTTCAAGTGATTCTCCTGCCTCAGCCTCCCAAGTAGCTAGGATTACAGGTGCCTGCCACCACACCAGGCTAATTTTTGTATTTTAGTAGAGACGGGGTTTCACCATGTTGGCCAGGCTGGTCTCGAACTCCTGACCTCAGGTGATCCACCCGCCTGGGCCTCCCAAAGTGCTGGGATTACAGGTGTGAGTCACCACACCTAGCCCCACCTAAGAATTTTCTGATGGTGCAAATCATCTAATAGTGGAAAGGACTGGCCGCCTCCTTCAGTAATGAGCTCTCCACCCCTGGAGTTCAAGTAGAGAGACTGGGTGCCCATTTACCATGGCTGCAGTAGGAGGGCTCCTTGCCTGGTAGGAGGCTGACCAGCAGTCTTCTGTAGTCCTTACAGACTGGTCCTCTGTGAAGCTCTTGGTCTCCTGGATGTCTCTCATCAGCTCCTTCTTTCCTTAGCCTCATTCTTTTTCCTCTTTCTCCCTCCCAGGCCTGAAGACGGAAGAAGGGAGTGTCAGAGGCGCCCTGCCAGCTGTGTCATCTCCCCCAGCTCCAGTTTCACCCTCATCACCCACCACACATAATGGGGAGCTGGAGCCGTCATTCTCCCCCAACACGGAGTCCCAGATTGGGCCTGAGGAAGCCATGGAGAGGCTGCAGGTGGGAAGCTGGAGCTGGCAAGGGCTGGGGGTCTGGGCATTCCTGGGAGTTTACTTCTCCAAAGTCAAGCTTGAGAAAGAAGGAATTCTAGGAGTAGCATGGCCCCAGGGTAGGTTGTCCCTACCCTGGGTCTGCTTGTCCCAGACCATCCTGAAACCTACCCACCTTACGCCCCCAGGAGACAGAGAAGATTATAGCTGAGCTGAACGAGACATGGGAGGAGAAGCTACGCAAGACAGAAGCCCTGAGGATGGAGAGGTGTGAGGGCCGACAGTTGGGGTCCTGGGTGGAGTTGGAGGCCATGGGGGAGGTCAGGCCCCACAGGGAAGGAGGTCACGGGCAGTGAAGGTAAGACTGACATTTGCCTCTCCTCTGCCCACAGAGAAGCATTGCTGGCTGAGATGGGGGTGGCCGTCCGGGAGGATGGGGGAACTGTGGGCGTCTTCTCTCCAAAGAAGGTGAGTGAGGAATCGAGCGAGGAGGCCTAGAGAGCTCTCTGGATGCCTAGAAAAGAGGCAGCAGGTGCAGGGTAGTGAGTGCTGTCCCTGATCGCTCCCTTTGAGGTCCCCGGCTTGTCCCTCCATCATTTCTGTCCCCTCCCCTGCCACCTCCTCTCCGTCTTGTTTAGTCATCCCTGCCTTCTCCCTTCAGCCATTCAACAGTCAGCCTCAGGAGAGGGAGAGGACCTGGGAAATCGGAGGTTGGTTGCAATAGAGCATGCTTTTGTATCATTTGAGTTTTGTATTCTGTGCATGCTCAAAAAGATAACTAAAGAAATCTATTTTTCAGAAGGATAACTTGGGAAGACAAGACTAAAGGGAATAGAGGAGGCATGAGCACTACATTGTAAGACAGTGGTTGCCAGTGCAGCGAGGGGTTGGTTATAGATGGAGGCACCCGTGTAGCTTGGAGCTATGCTGCAACTGGTTTCCTGGAGAAGGTGGTTTGGAAAGTGGAACCTGAAAGATGGACAGGACTTGGGAAGTATGGAGGAGTAGGGCCAACATGAGGTTGAAGAGCCTGGGGTACATGTTGGGGTGAGTGGGACACGCCAGTGCCTGACACGTGCCTGCCGCCAGGTTTTAGGTACCTAATAAATCTTTGCTGAAAGGAAGGAAGGAGCAGGGCGGGAGAGGTCAGGCTCAGGTGGAGGCAGGAATGATACTCCAAATATTAATAACCATCCGGCATAGGGACTGACCAGTCAGAAAGGACACTGGATATAGACAGCCAGCACCGCTGTACCGGTGCATACCAGTGAAGGGATGGTGCAGAGGCCAGTATACCAGTGAAGGGATGGTGCAGAGGCCAGTTTGAGCAGAGCATGAACTTCCAGTTCCACCAGGGAACCAGCCCAGCCCGTCTGGACCATGGTGTGAAGCAGCAGAGGATCAGGCCCTAAGTCAGATACACTGTGCTCTGAGCCAGACAGTGTCACTGGGGGCTGCCTGGAAGAGGTGATGGGTTACCAGAAGAAGGCTCCTCTCTGTTTTGTAAAGTCAGGTCCATCTGGGGGACTAAGCAAGCAGGGATCACTGAACCCCTGTTCTGAAAAGAGGAGAGGGGTTTTGCCTTGCCTGGCCCAAGCCACATTGAGGGAGTGAAAGAGCTGTGGGCGGTAGGCCAGGCTGCGTGTCTGGGGTCTTGTCTGGGGCTGGGTACCCTGGGGCTTTGGGGTCCTTCTGAGGGATCCAGACTCTTCTGGGACCCAGCCACACCTAGGTGGAAAGAGGGGCTACGGATGCGCTCAGCATGGCTTCCAGCCACCTTTGTATACCTGGAGCTGGGCCGCTTCCACCACGGTTGCAAGGATGGAGGAAAAGCAGAAAGGACTGGGGAGACTGGTGGGGTGGAGGTTTCTTCCTTGGAGAGCTTGCAGAGATGCCACCTGCCAAAGCCTGGGGACCAAAGGAGGGGGTTCTTGTTTTAATTGTTCTTATAAAGGTAATACACACCAGAGAGAACATTCTAATAGTTCTAAAAGGTGTGTACAGTGAAAAGTCTCCAATTTACAGCATTTTGTTATAGAAAAAAAAAAAAAGTAACTCTCCATCCTTCCCACCCTTAAGTTTCCCCTCAGAGGCAGCCTTCATTATGAGTTCTTTTTTTTTTTGAGACGGGGTCTTGTACTGTCACCCGGGCTGGAGTGCAACGGTGCAATCTTGGCTGACTGCAACCTCCGCCTCCTGGGTTCATACGATTCTTCTGCCTCAGCCTCCCAAGTAGCTGGGATTACAGGCGCACACCATCACACCCGGCTAATATTTTGTATTTTTAGTAGAGATGGGGTTCACTATGTTGGCCGGAGTGGTCTTGAACTTCTGACCTCGTGATCCACCCACTTCGGAGTCCCAAAGTGCTGGGGTTACAGGTGTGAGCCACCGTGCCAGGCCCATTATGGGTTCTTACTATATTCTCCTTGGGTCGGGCCTGGTGGCTCACACCTGTAATCCTAGCACTTTGGGAGGCCAAGGCGGGTGGATCACGAGGTCAGGAGATTGAGACCATCCTGGCTAACACAGTGAAACCCCGTCTCTACTACAAATACAAAAAATTAGCCACGTGTGCTGGCGGGCGCCTGTAGTCCCAGCTACTAGGGAGGCTGAGGCAGTAGAATGACATGAACCCGGGAGGCAGAGGTTGCAGTGAGCTGAGATCGCACCACTGCACTCCAGCCTGGGTGACAGACAAGACTCTGTCTCAAAAAAAAAAAAAAGAAAAAATGTTCTCCTAGAGATGCTGTCTAGGAGATGTTATAACACATGTACAGGCATATGTTATATAGAACTATACACATTTACTCACATTCACGGCCTCTCTAATAGTTGTAGTTGCATATCTATTTTATTTATTTATTTTGAGACAAGAGTCACACTCTGTCGCCCAGGCTGGAGTGCAGTGGCACAATCTCAGCTCAGTGCAAACTCTGCCTCCCAGGTTCAAGTGATTCTCATGCCTCAGCCTCCCAAGTAGCTGGGATTACAGGCACCCACCACCACGCCGGGCTAATTTTTGTATTTTAGTAGAGACAGGGTTTCGCCATGTTGGCCAGGCTGGTCTCAAACTCCTGGCCTCAAATGATGCACTGGCCTTGGCCTCCTGAAGTGCTGGTATTACAGGTGTGAGCTACTGTGCTTGGCCTGCATACCTTATTTTAAAGCTTCCTTTATTTTTTTCACGGTGTCAGGGTATTCTATTGTGTAGATGTAGGATAATGTATTTAACCAGCTTCCCACTGATGGACATTCAGATTGTTTCCCATTCCTTGATACTACAAAAAAAGGCTACAATGCATAGTCTTACAAATGGGTGTTATCTGTAGAGCAGATTCCTAGAAATGGAGATTTTGGGTCAAATGGTAGCCATGTAAAATTTTAATCTAGGCCGGGTGCGGTGGCTCACGCCTGTAATCCCAGCACTTTGGGAGGCCGAGGCGGGCGGATCACGAGGTCAGGAGATCGAGACCATCCTGGCTAACAAGGTGAAACCCCATCTCTACTAAAATAGAAAAAATTAGCCGGGCGTGGTGGCGGGCACCTGTAGTCCCAGCTACTTGGGAGGCTGAGGCAGGAGAATGGCGTGAACCCGGGAGGCGGAGCTTGCAGTGAGCCGAGATCATGCCACTGCACTCCAGCCCAGGTGACAGAGCGAGACTCCGTCTCAAAAAAAAAAATTTTTTTTTTAATCTATATTGCCAAAGTGCCCTCTGAAGATTATAACCATACCAATTTATTTTACTTTTTTGAGATGGAGTCTTGCTGTGTTGCCCAGGCTGGAGTGCAGTGGTGCAATCTCGGCCCACTGCAAGCTCCGCCTCCCGGGTTCACGCCATTCTCCTGCCTCAGCCTCCCAAGTAGCTGGGACTACAGGCGCCCACCACCACTCCTGGCTAATTTTTTGAACCATACCAATTTATACTCCCAAGGGTAACATACAAGAGAGCCCATTTCCCCTCGCCCTTTCCCACATTCTGGCTTAGTAAGACTTTTCTCTTTGCCTGTGTGATTGGTGAGAAGGTGTCTTAAGGTAGTTCACTTTTACATTTTTCTCAAGGTGGTGAGGATGAACTCTTCTCATGTTTAAAAGCCATGTGGTCTAAAGCCAGAAGAGAGAACTGTTAGACTCATGGGGAAATGGGTTTGGTGTGAGTAGCTCCAACAGGGAATAGTTGGGTCTTAGAGGAAAAAACTACAGTTTGTCTTGGAGGGAGCCTCCTCTTGCTAAGACCCCCACCACCAGGGCTAAGGATTGCTTAAATCAGTGGTGTTCAAACCTGGTTCTGAGCTGCCTTCTCAGGGGCTGAGGATAGGGACAGGACCAGACCCTGGGGCTCTCACCCCCAGCCTGGGCCTGAGCAGCTTCTTGCTTATCTGCTTGATGTCCTAGGCTTCTAGAGAAGGTTTCATTTTGAACAAAGAGTTATAGGGCTGAAGAAAAAGTTGAAAAGCACCGCCTCAAATCGTGTTCCCTCTCCCCAGGGATAGATTGCTTTCTGCTTCCGGAGCCCATCAGCGTTTGCCAGTCCCAGAGCAGGCCTGACACTGCAGTGTAGGGAGGGGCATGGGAGTCCCTCAGGAGAAGTGTCGCAGGAGTGATCCTTGGAGCACTTGGGTGAAGGGCGGATGCACAAGATACACAGACACCTCTGGGGGACACAGCTTTGGGCTCTGAGTGTTAAGTGGCTCCCAGAGAAATAGAGGTTCGACTCCGTGCTGTTTCCCTTCTGTACCCTGTGCTTTCTGCCTCCATGCTTCTGTCCAGGCTGCTTTCACCCGGAGCGCTCTTGTGCATGTCCACGCCCTCCTTGTCCTCAAAGGCTGGCTCCCATGTTACCCTTCCATTAAGTCCTCCTGATCCCCTTGAAATCCCATAGTTCTTCACTTTGTTCCTCTTTGCATGTGAGTCCCTCCCAGAACACAGTGGCACTCAACCCCCTGGGAACAAATGAATGAATAAACGAACTTAAACAAGGGCATGAGACAATCAGAAACTCCTCCATGAGGCATCCGTTTCCCACTTGTAATGGTGTTTCCACGCCAAGCCTCACCTCCCCTAGCTGACTCTCATTTCCTGACTGACTGGACAGCAGTGCCTGGGCTTGACTCATCTCTGTACCCCGCCTAGCGCTTCACCAGGGTGAGGTAGAAAGGCCACAGTCAGTCCTTCTGCAGCAGAGGCAGGGGTCTTGTGTTCTGATGGAAGGCTTAGGAAAACTTCCCGGAGGAAGTTGCATTTCAGACAGACTGGGAGGAACGTGAAGGAAGTGAATGATTTTGGCAGGTGGGGGCGGGGCGGGAGGCGGTCTGTTGTTGGGGACATTGGCAGTCAGGGATGCAGGAGGCCTACTTTGGAGGGAGTGCTCAGGGGTCCGCTGAGTGGAAGTACAGAGTCTGGGAGAGAGCCTGGGAGGGGGGCTTGGACAGATGGACTGGAGCCGGGACATGGAGGAGGCCCAGGGATGCCAGGGGAAAAAGTAGGCTCAAGTCCAGCGGGCCTGGGGTTCCAGCTGGAGAGGTCTCAGCAGAGAGGCAAAGACATGGCCATAGCGAGGTGTGGGCAGGAAGCTGGGAGACCTAAGGGGTGGCAGGAAGGCAGGTGGGCCTGGTGCAGGGTGGTGCCGAGGGATGGAGAGGTGTGTGGCACGGCAGCAGCTGGCAGGAAGGGAGACTTCCCCAGGCGTGGCAGCAGTGGCATGAATGGGGGTACAGAGGCAGCGTCGCCTGTACGCCATCCAGAGTACTGCCCAGCAAGGGCAGGGCTGTTATAATGGAAACAAGTCAGGAGAAGGTGCTGTGGGAGAAGGGAATGGGCCGGGTTTTCAGCACAGAGCAGCGTAACAATCACTCAGGTGTTCAGGATGGACTTGGCTGGGGGCCTTAGGCAGGGACAGCCCCAGGCGGGTGCTGCAGGGACCCAGGCTTGAGGTGAAGCAGCCCAGGGAGGGGTAGTCACTGGGGAAGAGTCAATGAGTCTGCTTCGAGAAACATGTTTGTTCCATTTGCTTTTAAGTTGAAGTGACACTTTTTATTTTTAAATTGTGAAAGTAATTCATGTGTGTAGGAAATTCAAGGTTGATGAAAGGTGGGGAGTACCAGTCTGCTCACTCAGTCTCCCCCAACTCTCCAGAAGCTGCAAGGTACATTTTGAGGAAAGAAATGATGGGACCTGAGACAGAGGAATATAGGGAAGAAGAGAATGCAGGGGGTCCGGGGCTTCTGGTGAGGGAGCCTGGTGGGTCGAGGTGCTTCTGAAGAGACAGGCCTTGGGAAGGGTTGCTGACCTGGATGCAGCTGGATGGGTGGGGCAATTTTTGTCGGCCCCTTGTGTGAGGAGAGGGTGGATCAGGCTGTCCTGAAGGCGGTTGGTGTGAGAGGTGGGAACCAAAGAACGTCATCGGGGTGGAGGGATGACGATGGGAGGAGTACAGAGGGCAGGAGAGCTCTCCAGAGTGAGGGGGCGCAGCTGGCAGTGCCAGGACTGGAGGGGTGTCTCCTCCCACCGCTCCCTTTCTTCCTTTCTATAGCACCCCTGGCTGGCTCCCCCTGACCACCTTTCTCTCCCCGCTTAGACTCCCCACCTGGTGAACCTGAACGAAGACCCTCTGATGTCTGAGTGTCTGCTCTACCACATCAAAGATGGCGTCACCAGGTAGCGTGTACCCAGCGGCCTGGGGGGCAGCCTCTGCTTTTGGGGTGTGGCTGCCAAGGGTTGTCCACATTGGTGTCTCCCTTCCCTGGTGGTCCCTGGAGATACCTCAGATCTCTAAACAGCTGCCTCCACAGCCCTGCACGCTCTCCCAGCTTCAAGAGAAGCGTGCCTGCTCAGTGGCTGTCTTGCCTCCACCTGCCAGTTTGGTTAGGGCGAGACAACCTTGTTTACTGGGGCAGGAGAGTTGGGAAACATAGACCCCCTCATTCTTAGACCCTGATGCCATTGCCTTGGCCTCCCTTGGTGGGGCCTTCCCTGGGGGCGGGAGAAGGGAAACACGGCCTGGTCTGTGCGGTTGAGGGCTGGGCAGCTAAGGGCATGTGGCTCCTTGGGCTGGTATTATGAAGTCATGGGGGCTCGGTGCCTCCCCTAAAGGGGTGAGGGTGCCCTTCCCCTCCCACCACAGGCATTCGTGGCTGTCCTTGGTAGTCATCTTGGGTAGGGAGTGAGCTCTCAGGATCATCAACCTAAGGATGGGTGGAGGCCTGTGGCTGAGGGTGCCCGTTTCTCCCAGGTTTGCTTGTACCCAGGTAGCATGTACCCAGTGGCCCGGGGGGCAGCCTCTGCTTTTGGGGTATGGCTGCTGAGGGTTAGCCACATTGGTGCCTCCCTTCCCTGGTGGTCCCTGGAGATAACTCAGATCTCTAAACAGCTGCCTCCACAGCCCTGCATGCTCTCCCAGCTTCAAGAGAAGTTGGCGAGCCTGCTGTATAACATGGTGACTAAGAGCATGGCTTCAGAGTCAGGCAGACCTGGGCTCAGATCCCAGCATCACTTCACTGCCCACTGAATGAACCCGGGCAAGCCATTTCACCTCCCTGAGCCTCTGCTTCCTCATCTGTGAAATGGGAATAATTGGCTTGGTTCATTGAGTTGGATAAACTGGTGTTCAGGAGGGGCTTGGTTAAAGTCTGGCACATGCTCACAAACGTTGGCCATTGCTTCCCCAGGGTCGGCCAAGTAGATATGGACATCAAGCTGACCGGACAGTTCATTCGGGAGCAACACTGTCTGTTCCGGAGCATCCCCCAGCCAGATGGAGAAGGTAATGGCTGAGGGGGTGAGAGAGGCCAGACAGGGAGAGAGGCCCCATGTTCCACCCCACACACTGAACTCAGAGGTCTGGGTTGGGCACCAGGGAGTGCAGCCATATAAAGAGGGGATGTGGCCTTGTCCTCAGAGGGGCTTGGGGCTCATGGGTATGAATGGAGGAATACCACAGGCCCAGCCCTCTGCACCCACCCTGAGAAGACAGACTACTGTGTGGTCAGGCACTGGCGAGGGTTCTAAGGTAGAAATGGGACACTAGTGAGCCAGAGTGTGGGATTTTGCTGAAGAGAAGATCCTGCCCTTCTTGATCTTGTTCACCACAACTAGCACTCTGATCCTTTTTAAACAAAAACCTGTATTTGAATATCGGAACTTGTCCCTGTGGAAAACCTGCCTCTATCCAGCTATGACTGCCGAGATTTCTTTTTCTTTTTCTTTTTCTTTTTCTTTTTTTTTTGAGACGGAGTGTTCGCTCTTGTCGCCCAGGCTGGAGTGCAATGGCGCGATCTGGGCTCACTGCAGCCTCAACCTCCCGGGTTCAAGCAATTCTCCTGCCTCAGCCTCCCGAGTAGCCGGGATTACAAGCATGTGCCACCATGCCTGGCTAATTTTGTGTTTTTAGTAGAGACGGGGTTTCTCCCATGTTGGTCAGGCTGGTCTCGAACTCCTGACCTCAGGTGATCCGCCTGCCTCGGCCTTCCGAAGTGCTGGGATTACAGGCGTGAGCCACTGCCCCCAGCTTTTTTTTTTTTTTTTTTTTTTTTTTATCATTTGAGACGGAGTCTCACTGTTTCCCCCAGGCTGGAGTGCAGTGGCATGATCTTGGCTCACTGCAGCCCCCACCTCCCAGGTTCAAGTGATTCTCTTGCCTCAACCCCGAGTAGCTGGGATTACAGGCACGCGCCACCACACCAGGCTAATTTTTGTATTTTTAGTAGAGACGGGGTTTCACCATGTTGGTCAGACTGGTCTTGAACTCCTGATCTCATGTGATCCGCCCACCTTGGCCTCCCAAAGCACTGGGATTACAGGCGTGAGCCACTGCACCTGCTGAGGTGTATTTTTGAGGCCACCAGTTTGTTTTAGTTCTAACACTTAAAAAAAAATAGAATGATTTGGGTTCACATAAGCTCAAGCAAAGTCTCTGTGAAAATGAGTTGGGCAGGGAGGAAGGACGTGGTACACATGTGCTGTCTGTCAGCTTGGACCTGGTGTGTGTGTTGTGCCTCAGAGACCTAGGAGTGCTTGGCCTAACACCTTCCAGGGGACAAGGGACCTGGGGTGTGTATGGTCAGCACTTTTTTTTTTTTTTTGAGATGGAGTCTCGCTGTGTCGTCCAGGCTGGAGTGCAGTGGTGCGATCTCGACTCACTGCAACCTCTGCCTCCCGGGTTCAAGTAATTCTCCTGCCTCAGCCTCCCGAGTAGCTGGGACTACAGGTGTGCGCCACCACACCCGGCTAATTTTGTATTTTTAGTAGAAACAGGGTTTCTCCAACTCCCAACCTCAGGTGATCCTCCTGCCTTGACCTCCCAAGGTGCTGGGATTACAGGCTTGAGCCACCACACCCAGCCCTAATTTTTGTATTTTTAGTAGAGACAGGGTTTCACCATGTTGGTCAGGCTAGTCTTGAACTCCTGACCTTGTGATCCACCTGCCTCGGCCTCCCAAAGTGCCAGGATTACAGGCGTGAGCCACCGCACCCGGCCAGCACATTTTAAAAAATAACAAAAGACGCTATCATGTGCGTCTTACAGTGAGGTTTAAGACATACCTCTTGGGGCTGGTGGGGTGGCTCATGCCTGTAATCTTAGCACTTTGGGAGGCCGAGGTGGGTGGATCACTTGAGGTCAGGAGTTTGAAACCAGCCTGGCCAACATGGTGGAACCCCGTCTCTACTAAAAGTACAAAAAAATTAGCTGGGCATGGTGGCGAACGCTTGTAATCCCAGCTACTTAGGAGGCTGAGACAGGAGAATTGCTTGAACCTGGGAAGTGGAGGTTTCAGTGAGCTGAGATTGCGCCACTGCACTCCAGCCTGGGTGACAGAGTGAGACTGTTTCAAAAAAAAAAAAAAAAAGACATGCCTCTTCGGTTTCCATATGGTTCAGGGTCAGCCAATCAAGGCAGTTGTTCTGGTCTGGTTCAAGTCCTCAGTGACAGCAAATGCTTCCGGCATTTTGGGTTGAAAGCTGTTGAATCAGTTCAGCCCAGTGAGTTATTGCCAAGTTCCTGTTCTGCGGCAACCTCAAGCCATTTGCTGGGGGAGATATGAAAGCCATACAGGCCACCAAAAATACACCTCAGCAGAGCCAGCCCATGGGCAAGGAGCTACAGTGCGGAGAGATGACACCCGTGTGCAAGACTGACATAGGTCACAGTAAAGGCAGCCAATGATTCTGTGTTGCCAAGGGTGGGGATTGTGATGGTTTAGTCCCTGTGGGCCTTGGTTCTTTTTTTTTTTTTTTTTTTTTTTTGAGACGGAGTCTCGCTCTGTCGCCCAGGCTCGAGTGCAGTGGCGCGATCTCGGCTCACTGCAAGCTCTGCCTCCCGGGTTCACGCCATTCTCCTGCCTCAGTCTCCTGAGTAGCTGGGACTACAGGCGCCCCCCCACCACCACACCCGGCTCATTTTTTTGTATTTTTAGTAGAGACGGGGTTTCGCCGTGTTAGCCAGGATGGTCTCAATCTCCTGACCTCATGATCCACCCGCCTCGGCCTCCCAAAGTGCTGGGATTATAGGCGTGAGCCACGCGCCCAGCCTGGGCCTCAGTTCTTAACAGCAGATTTAAGACCTGGCCAGAAACAGGCAGAGAGGACGGGGGCAGCACAGACAGGTATGGATGTAGAAGAATGGTTTTTACTGACCATCTACTCTGTGCGTCCGCATTTTCTCACACAGCTCACAGGTGAGAGAACTGAGGCTCTCGGGGGTTAGGTGATTTGCAAAAGATGACACAAAATGGCAGAACTGGATTCAGACACAGGATGGCAGGCACCAGGGGCTGTGCTGTGAGCTCTGCCCTAGACTGTCAGATTATCATGGGTTCAGGGTAAGGCTGCCTGGGCCAAGCTGGAGCAGTCTTCTCACCCAGCCCCACTTTCCCTGCATAACACGTATTCCCTCCTTTTTTATTTTCATTTTCATTTTTATTTTTTGAGACAGGGTCTTGCCCTGTCACCCAGGCTAGAGTGCAGTGGCATGATCATGGTTCACTGTAGCCTCAACCTCCCGGGTTAAAGTGATCCCCCCACCTCAGCCTCCTGAGTAGCTGGGACTACAGACCTGTGCCACCACACCTGGCTAATTTTTGTACTTTTCGTACAGACAGGGTTTTACTGTGTTGCCCAGGCTGGTCTCAAAGTCCTGAGCTCAAGCAGTCCACCTGCCTCGGCCTCCCAAAGTGCTGGGATTACAGGCGTGAGCCACTGTGCCCAACCCTATTCCCTTTAGAGAGGACTTTAGATTATCTGCTTTTAAAAATATTAATAGAATTAAATGCCTTTTTCCCCCCCTCTTCTTTTAGTTTTAATAAATGGCATCTGGCCAGGCACAGTGGCTCATGCCTGTGATTCCAGCACTTTGGGAGGCCAAGGCGGGCGGATCACCTGAGGTCAGGCGGGTGGATCACCTGAGGTCAGGAGTTGGAGACCAGCCTGACCAACATGGAGAAACCCCGTCTCTACTAAAAATACAAAATTAGCCAGGTGTGGTGGTGCATGCCTGTAATCCCAGCTACTCAGGAGGCTGAGGCAGGAGAATTGCTTGAACCCAGGAGGAGAGGTTGCAGTGAGCTGAGATCGCACCATTGCACTCCAGCCTCCAACAAGAGTTTCACTCCAACAAGAGTGAAACTCCATCTCAAAAAAAAAAAAGAAAAAAGAAAAGCCATCCATCACGATTAAATGACTTTAGATTATCTTGTTTATTGTCTGTCTTACCAGACAGAAGTAAGCTCTATGAGAGCAGGGATTTTTTGTTTTATATCACCAATGTATTTCTGAGACCTAGTAAAATAGTGTTTGGAAGATAGTAGGAGTGTGGCATATGTGGGTTTGAATCAATAAATGAATTTTGTGGCATGATGGGAAATGAAGAAAAGGTGGGGATAGATGGCACCCCCTCTAGGCACCCGCATCCCGTCCTGCTGTCCACCTCTGCTGCTGCTGTTTCCCCGACCCACCGTGATGCCCTTGGCTGCCCCTCTCCCCATCGGCTTCTGAGTCTCCCTCTGCTCCTAAGCTGAGTCCTCTGCTCTCCTTGTTCTCCCAGCAGCATCCGTTGTCCCCATCCCTGCCTGATATTATAGTTCATCCCAGTTTCTGTGTTTCTCTATTACTTCCAGTATAAGTATTATAATAATAAAACACATGTTTGCATGTTATTTTATGGTTTACTTTTTTGGGCCTTCTAACCACTCTTCATTCAGACTTCATTATCCCATCTTATAGAATATCACAGAAGTTAAATTGACTTGTTCAGCATCCCTGGCTAAGGAGCTGCAGAGCCTGGGCCTTTGGGATACCAGGGTTCCTCTGCGGCAATGGCCACTGCTCCTCGAGGACAGGGAGCTGCCTCGTGCATCTTCGCGTCCCCAGAAACTGGCAGGCTCAGTGATTTGTACTGAGGAGCAGCTAGATGGATGTTTGGGTTGGGTTGACTTTCTCTTGTCACATGTCAGCTGTGGCTTGAGAAGATGAGTCAGGTGGCAGTTTGCAAGATGCATGAGGCAGAGGGGTGGGCTACAAGCCTGCTGGAGGAGCCCAGGCCCCACCAGGGATAATGTCAGTGGGAAAGGTAGGAATGGACATCTGGAAGGCAGAAATGACAGGGCCTCTGAGCAGTTAAACATGAGGAATGAATCCTTTTGACAATTACTGGTTTTCTAAGCTGCTGCTGGGGAGGATAGAGGTGGGTGAGTCAGGAGCCACTGCAGAGGCTTCTGGGAATTGTAGTTGGGGCTCTAACCCTCCTTCTGCTCTTCCTTTCCCGTGCTGCCTGCCACCAGAGGGGCCATGGCACCCCCTACAGGTACTGGGGGTGGGACTGGTGGTGCATGTGTGGTTTTTTGGGGTAAGGCAAGGTGGGAATCTGTGACCATGACCCACCTTCCTCCAGGGTCTAATCTTTCCCCTTCCTCTGCCCCTCCATTCAGTGGTGGTCACTCTGGAGCCTTGTGAAGGAGCTGAGACATATGTGAATGGGAAGCTTGTGACGGAGCCGCTGGTGCTGAAGTCAGGTAGAAGATGTGTCGCAGATTGAGGGTTCTGGGGCGTGGCTGTGTGTAGGAAGTCTCAAGGGAGGTCCTTCTGGGTGCATCCTAGAGGAGGACCCTGAAATACATCAGAAATAGCACGGGGATATAAAGAAGGAACTGGGAAGTGAAGGTCAAGGAGTCAGGTCTTGGTTTCTCTTTCCGCCCCAGGGAACAGGAAGAGGATGCCAAGCTCTTGCAATTCCCTTTGGTTGACAAGAATGGGGTTGGTCCCTGGGTGTCAGCCAGGGGAGCATAGGCTCCAACTGCCTTCAGACTTGGGGTGATGAAGGGGAGGGTGTCACAGCCCCTGTGCCAGATTCTCTATGCCTTGGGTGTAGGGATGGATTTGGTGCTGATGGGAAGCGAGTTTACTTTTCCCTCCTCCCATCTCTAGGGAATAGGATTGTGATGGGCAAGAACCACGTTTTCCGCTTCAACCACCCGGAGCAGGCAAGGCTGGAACGGGAACGAGGGGTCCCCCCACCCCCAGGACCGCCCTCTGAGCCAGTCGACTGGAACTTTGCCCAGAAGGAACTGCTGGAGCAGCAAGGCATCGACATAAAGCTGGAAATGGAGAAGAGGTGCGAGGGGGTTACCCACGTGCCCCATGGCCGTCTAGGCCGTCCCTCCCGGGCCTCTGGGCCCGTGTCCTCCTCTTGTCAGATACTCACCAAGGTTGCTCTTCCTTCCCTCCCTGTCCAATCCCAGGCTGCAGGATCTGGAGAATCAGTACCGGAAAGAAAAGGAAGAAGCCGATCTTCTGCTGGAGCAGCAGCGACTGGTGAGGGGCAGCAGGGGCTGGGGATGGGCTGATGGGCAGATGAGCCGCAAGCCTGAGTCCGAGTGCAGTGCTCACCGCTGAGCCAGAGTGGGAAATGGGCATGGGGGTAAGGGGAAGGGTCCAAGAGGAAAAAGCCAGGAGAGAGATGTGACTACAGGAAGAATCCATTGTGAGGAAGGAAGGAAGATTCCTCCAGTTGACCAGGCCTTCCCATACTCCAGTTTCTCGTGCCAAGTTTATGATTTTCACCATATCCAAGTACCACCTGTGTTGGTATTAAGATTGTTGTGGTTTTTTTTTTTTTTTTTTTTTTTGGAGATGGAGTCTCCTGTCACCCAGGCTGGAACGCAGTGGGATGATCTCGACTTACTGTAGCCTCCGCCTCCTGGGTTCAAGCGATTCTCATGCCTCAGCCTCCCCAGTAGCTGGGATTACAGGAGCCCGCCACCATGCCTGGCTAATAATTATTGTATTTTTAGTAGAGACAGGGTTTCACCATGTTGGCCAGGCTGGTCTCGAACTCCTGACCTCAGGTGATCCGCCTGCCTCAGCCTCCCAAAATGCTGGGATTACAGGCATGAGCCACCGCACCCGGCCATGGACTTTCTATTTTGTTTTTGAGGCAGGATCTTGCTCTGTCACCCTGGCTGGAGTGCAGTGGCCTGATCATAGCTCACTGCAGCCTCGAACTCCTTGGGTTCAAGCAGTCCTTCCACCTCAACCTCCTGAGTAGCTGGGATCACAGGTGTGCACTTCCATGCCTGGCTACATTTTTTATTTTTTGTAGAGGTGGGGGTCTCACTACATTACCCAGGCTGGTCTTCAGCTCCTGGGCTCAAGTGATCCTCCTGCCTTGGCCTTCCAACATGCTGGGATTGCAGGCACGAGCCACCACCCCTCAATGGTCTTTTAAGTCTTGCACAAAGTTCCACACTCGATTAGCTACAACTAATACTTATGGTAACTTTCTCGGTGCCGGCCATGGTTCTAAGTACTCCACGTGGATCTGGGAGGTAGATCCCGTCACTATCTCTGTTGTCTAGAAGAGCAGCGTTAAGCAGTCTGCCCAAGGGTGCGCTGTTGGGGTGGAGCAGGACTTGAACCCAGGCTCCCTGATGGGCGTGTTTCCAGTGTACTTAGGACACACTGGGCCAAGACACATGGGCTCTGGATGTCCTTAGCCCTCTCTTCCTCTTTCTTTCTCTGGCCCCAGTATGCAGACTCGGACAGCGGGGATGACTCTGACAAGCGCTCTTGTGAAGAGAGCTGGAGGCTCATCTCCTCCTTGCGGGAGCAGCTGCCGCCCACCACGGTCCAGACCATTGTCAAACGCTGTGGTCTGCCCAGCAGTGGCAAGCGCAGGGCCCCTCGCAGGGTTTATCAGATCCCCCAGCGACGCAGGCTGCAGGGCAAAGACCCCCGCTGGGCCACCATGGCTGACCTGAAGATGCAGGCGGTGAAGGAGATCTGCTACGAGGTGGCCCTGGCTGACTTCCGCCACGGGCGGGCTGAGATTGAGGCCCTGGCCGCCCTCAAGATGCGGGAGCTGTGTCGCACCTATGGCAAGCCAGACGGCCCCGGAGACGCCTGGAGGGCTGTGGCCCGGGATGTCTGGGACACTGTAGGCGAGGAGGAAGGAGGTGGAGCTGGCAGTGGTGGTGGCAGTGAGGAGGGAGCCCGAGGGGCGGAGGTGGAGGACCTCCGGGCCCACATCGACAAGCTGACGGGGATTCTGCAGGAGGTGAAGCTGCAGAACAGCAGCAAGGACCGGGAGCTGCAGGCCCTGCGGGACCGCATGCTCCGCATGGAGAGGGTCATCCCCCTGGCCCAGGTAGGACTGGCCTTCTGCCTCCCTTCTCTCCTCCCTCGGCTCTTCACTTTAGGAGTCTGAACCTTCCATCTCAGAGCCTAACCTTCCCCAAGTCTGGAAAAAATTGCATTGAAGTATAGTACGTTTTTTTCAATATTGTTTACGAACCACATGCCTCGCTGTCACCAGGCTGCTAATTAAAATAGATTCCCGGGTTCCACCCCAGACCTACTGAATCCACATCTTTGGGGACAAATCTGCATTTATAATAAGCTCTGGGTGTTTCTGAAATACAGTGAAGTCTAAGACCCACTGATATAAAGTTTGCAGTTTTGTTTTGTTTCTGAGGTGAAGTCTTGCTCTGTTGCCAGTCTGGAGTGCAGTGGCACAATCTCGGCTCACTGCAACTTCCGCCTCCCAGGTTCAAGCCATTCTCCTGCCTCAGCCTCCTGAGTAGCTGGGACTACAGGCGCGCACCACCACACCCGGCTAATTTTTTTTTTTTGTATTTTAGTAGAGACGGGGTTTCACCATGTTGGCCAGGATGGTCTTGATCTCTTGACCTTGTGATCCGCCCACCTCAGCTTCCCAAAGTGCTGCGATTACAGGCGTGAGCCACTGCGCCCGGCCCTAAACCACTATTTTTCGAGCTTCCTTATCTCTAGGCTTTTCTCTGGACCCTTTGACATCCAGCCACTCCAGGTCCCTCTTGAATCCACATGTCCTGAGGATTCAGCTCTCCTCACATCCCTTCTCCTTTTCTCACTCCTCCCTCCCAGGATCATGAGGATGAGAATGAAGAAGGTGGTGAGGTCCCCTGGGCCCCGCCTGAAGGATCAGAGGCAGCAGAGGAGGCAGCCCCCAGTGACCGCATGCCGTCAGCCCGGCCCCCCTCGCCACCACTGTCAAGCTGGGAGCGGGTGTCACGGCTCATGGAGGAGGACCCTGCCTTCCGTCGTGGTCGTCTTCGCTGGCTCAAGCAGGAGCAGCTACGGCTGCAGGGACTGCAGGGCTCTGGGGGCCGGGGCGGGGGGCTGCGCAGGCCCCCAGCCCGCTTTGTGCCCCCTCACGACTGCAAGCTACGCTTCCCCTTCAAGAGCAACCCCCAGCACCGGGAGTCTTGGCCAGGGATGGGGAGCGGGGAGGCTCCAACTCCGCTCCAACCCCCTGAGGAGGTCACTCCCCATCCAGCCACCCCTGCCCGCCGGCCTCCGAGTCCCCGAAGGTCCCACCATCCCCGCAGGAACTCCCTGGATGGAGGGGGCCGATCCCGGGGAGCGGGTTCTGCACAGCCTGAACCCCAGCACTTCCAGCCCAAAAAGCACAACTCTTATCCCCAGCCACCCCAACCCTACCCAGCCCAGCGGCCCCCAGGGCCCCGCTACCCCCCATACACTACTCCCCCACGAATGAGACGGCAGCGTTCTGCCCCTGACCTCAAGGAGAGTGGGGCAGCTGTGTGAGTCCCACATCCTGGGCAGAGGGCCTGGTGGGGCCCCTTGCTAGGAGAAGGGAAGACGCCCGAGACGCTGCTTCCCCAGAAGTGCTGGGGCAGGGAGGCCCAGGAGATGAGAGAGAAGGTCCGAGTAGGTGATAGAAGACAAGGGGGAGACCGAGCCGGAGGCTGAGGAAAGGAAGAGGGCACGGAGTTGCCAGGAGCAAACCAAAGTGAAGAGAGAGATAGGAAGCTGCCTCGGGGCCACCCCTTGCAAAGGGGGTGTGTCCCACAAACGCTGCTATGGGTGGGGTGGGGGGCTGGGGTGCTGCGTAGCCAGTGTTTGACTTTCTTTTCAAGTGGGGGAAAGTGGGAGAGGACTGAGAGTGAGGCAAGTTCTCCCCAGCCCCTGTCCGTCTGTCTGTCTGTCTGTGGTGGTTTCTGTTTCTTGGGAGGCATGGTAGGATCATAAGTCATTCCCCTCCCCTTCCAGGCCTCCTGCTATATTTGGGGGACCTGACTGGTTTGGCTGGAGTCCCATGAGGATGTGGGCCCTTTAATAAAGGATAGCAAACAGGGAGCTTGTGGCCTGTTTGTTTTGGGTTTTCATGGAGGTGTAGGTTATATAAGGCAATGGCACAGGTCTTAAGCATACTTATCAGTGAAGTATTGTATGTGTGCTCTGTGCAGGCACCACCCAGATCTGGATATAAGAATGTTTCCATCTTGTCTTCCTGAACTTCACCCTCCTGTCTCTTCCTTCAGGGTGCGCAGCCCGATCTTTTCCCCGCTTTTTTTTTTTGGGAGACAGGGTCTTGCTTTGTTGCCCAGGCTGGAGGTACAGTCTTGGCTCACTGCAGCCTCCGCCTCCTGAGTAGCTGGGATTACAGGCATGTGCCACCACGCCCGGCTCATTACTGTTTTTTTTGTAGTGACGAGGTTTCACCATATTGGCCAGGCTGGTCTCGAACTCCTGATGACCTCAAGTGATCCGCCCACCTTGGCCTCCCAAAGTGGTGGGATTACAGGTGTGAGCCACCGCGCCCGGCCTCCCCTGCTTTCATGTTTGCTTACCCAGTGTCTCAGTCTGTGCCAGCAGCACCACTGTCTGTTATGGACAAAGCACAGAAGCGGGGATGCGAGGGGAGGTAGAGGGACCGCCAGCCTGTCAATGCTTAACTGGCTGTTGCTGACAGATACAGAAGGATTTGTGGGGTACAGAGGAGTTCTGCTTTAAGTCACCTAACTTACTTGAAAGGTCTCCCAAGCAGCCAGTTTCTCTTGATAGTGAATGGGTTGGGCAAGCATACTGCGCTTACCTGATTGTTTTCATCCTGGTTGTGTTACCTGCCTTCTGGCAGGCTACATCATTGTTCCCAGTCGTTATTTTATTTGTGTTAAGACTGTTTGTTGGCCAGGCGCAGTGGTTCACGCCTGTAATGCCAGCACTGGGAGGCCGAGGCAGGTGGATCACGAGGTCAGGAGATCGAGACCATCCTGGCTATCATGGTGAAACCCCATCTCTACTAAAAATAAAAATAAAAAAATTAGCCGGGCATGGTGGCGGGGGCCTGTAGTCCCAGCTACTCAGGAGGCTGAGGCAGGAGAATGGCATGAACCTGGGAGGCGGAGCTTGCAGTGAGCTGAGATTGCGCCACTGCACTCCAGCCTGGGCGACAGAGCGAGACTCCATTTCAAGAAAAATTAAAAAACTGTTTGTTGCCTGCTTGTTTTAATGTTCTGGCTTGAGGCAGCGAGCCCTTGACTATGCCACATTGCCAGGATTTTGCAGGTTAGATTGTACTACAGCACTGCCTTTGGCTTGCCAGACTCTGGAGTCCCCACATTTTCATCCTGTTCTCAGGAAAACACTTTGACCCACTTGAAGCTCTGAGCTACTGCTTCACAGCTTCCTGGGGTCAGTCTCCAGCCAAAACCATAGATATCCCAACTGCAGCCAAACCACGGCTCTGGGCGAAGGAACGATTAGGTTTACTCTAGGTTTCCACACCCTGATGCTCCTGCCTTTACTTTGACACCTCTGACTGCCAGGTTTTCACAGACCTGTTGACAGTGACTCAAGATCTGGAATGTAATGGATGGTTTGGCAACAGTGTTTGCTTGAGCAGTTTAAAATCTGGCCAGGGAGACTCAATGTGAGCAAGAAAATGATAGAATACCAAGTTTTCTGGAGGTCAGAGGGAGCTGAGTTGAGTGTTACCGAGAATGCTGTGGGGTTTGAGATGAGAAAAATAGCTTGCTAATTTAAAAGACGGATTATTTTTCCCTAAAGACCTTGACTTATGTAAATGTATATTATCCATAATTTTAAAAATCCACTTATGGCTGGGCACAGAAGCTCACACCTGTAATCCCAGCACTTTGGGAGGCTGAGGCAGGAGGATCAGTTGAGTCCAGGAGTTCGAGACCAGCCTGGGCAACATAGTGAAACCCTGTATCTACAAAACATAGAAAAACTAGTTGGGTGTGGTGGTGTGTACCTGTAGTTCCAGCTACTAGGGAGGTAGGAAGATCACCTGAGCCCATGGAGATTGAGGCTGTGGTGAGCTGTGAAGGCACCACAGCACTCTGGCCTGGGCAAGAGTGGGACTCTCTCAAAAAAAAAAAAAAAAAAAAATCCACATATCCAGCCTTCCAAGTCAGTCTTTAATAATGTGCACGGGCCAGGCACAGTGGCTCACACCCGTAATCCCAACACTTTGGAATATTAGGGTGGGAGCATCACTTGAGGCCAGGAATTTGAGACCAGCCTGGGCAACATAGTGAGACTGCCCCCCCCATCTCTACAAAAAATAAAAATCAAAAATAATACTGTGGGCAAACTTTACTTAGATTTTATTCAGAGTAGTGCCTGTTTATTTTTCATCTGTGCTACCTGTGCCGGCATTCCATATGCATTTGATTTAGTCTTTAAAGTACCCCGGTAAAATAGGTCTTTTGTCTGCATTTTTCAGATGGGAAGACTGAGGTTTTGTTTATTTATTTTTATTTATTTATTTTTTGAGACGGAGTCTCGCTCTGTTGCCTAGGCTGGAGTGCGATGGCACAATCTTGGCTCACTACAACCTCCGCTTCCTGGGTTCAAGCGATTCTCCTGCCTCAGCCTCCTGAGTAGCTAGGATTACAGGCGCCCACAACCGCACCCGGCTAATTTTTTGTATCTTTAGTAGAGACAGGGTTTCACTATGTTGTCCAAGCTGGTTTCGAATTCCTGACCTCAGGTGATCCACCCGCCTCTGCCTCCCAAAATGTTGGGATTACAGGCGTGAGCCACCACGCCCAGCCTATTTATTTATTTTTTTAGAATCAAGATCTTGCTATGTTGCCCAGGCTGAACTCGAACTCCTGGGCTCAAGCAATCCTGCCTCCCAAGCCAAGCAGCTGGTACTGCAAGCATGTGCCACCGTGCCTGGCTCCTGAAGACTGAGGTTGGTTTAGATTAATGAGTTGCCCAAATTCAGACAGTTCTTAAGTGGCAAAGTTAGGATTCCAACCCAGGTCAACATAACTAAAGCCCAAACCCCATCTCACCCCTCTAGGCCATCAAGTATTGGCTGGGTGCGGTGGTTTATGTCTGTAATCCCAGCACTTTGGGAGGCGGAGGCGGGAGGACTGTTTGAGCTCAGGAGTTTGAGACCAGCCTGGGCAACATAACAAGACCCTGTCTCTACAAAAATATATAAATTAGCCGGGTGTACTGGCTCACACCTGTAGCTACTTGGGAGGCTGAGGTGGGAGGATCGCTTGAGCCTGGGAGGTCAAGGCTGCGGTGACCTGTGATTGCACCACCAGGAGACCCTGTCTTAAAAATGTATATATAAAAATAAAAAGAACATCAGACATCACCATCACCTCGCTTAGAATCCATGGGGCCTTCTCCTCAAATTCAATCTTCCCAGGCATTTCATGAACTTGCGTCTAGTTTCTGTTCCCTCTCAAATTGCCCAGGCTGTCCTGTGAGTGACAGCAGCTATTTCGTGGGCCTCCTCTGGAATCATGAGAAGTCACCCAAACAATCTCAGTTTTCTAGCTCACTCCGTCTTGACATTTCTACACTGTCATCCTTGGTTTTCTTGGAAATTAATTTGCTTTTCTTCATTGTCTTTCTTTGGAGCTGCTTTCCTTTTGTTGGTTACTATTTTATTTTTAGCTTCTCACACCATACCGACATATGTTGGTTATTCTTTTAGACATGTTTTTTGTTGTTGTTGTCACCTGGAACTTTTGTATCTTGAATAAATTTGGGGATCAAATACATTTTTTCTCCACCAGTCTTATTTATACCTTTCTATATTCAGAGCTTCAAATTTGGTTTGGTTTGAAATTGTTCTCCCCCCAACCTTTTTTTTTTTTTTTTTGAGATGGAGTTTTGCTCTTGTCGCCCAGGCTAGAGTGCAGTGGCATGATCTCCGCTCGCTGCAACCTCCGCCTCCCGGGTTCAAGCGATTCTCCGGCCTCAGCTTCCCAAGTAGCTGGGATTACAGGCATGTGCCACCATGCCCGACCAATATTTGTATTTTTAGTAGAGATGGGGTTTTGGCATGTTAGCCAGGCTGGTCTTGAACTCCTGACCTCAAGTGATCCGCCCACCTCAGCCTCCCAAAGTATTGGGATTACAGGCATGAGCCACCATGCCTGGCCTTTTTTTTTTTTTTTTTTTTTTAACTTTTATTTATTTTCGAGAAGGAATCTCACTCTGTCGCCCAGGCTGGAGTACAGTGGTGCCATCACAGCTTATTACAGCCTCAACCTCCCAGGCTCAAGTGATCCTCCCACCTCAGCTTCCTGAGCAGCTGAGACTGCAGGTGCATGCCACCATGCCCAGCTAATTTTTTGTAGTTTTCTAGAGGCAGGGTTTTGTCATGCTGCCCAGGGTGATCTGGAACTTCGGAGCTCAAGCAATCCATCCATGTCTGCCTCCCAAAATGCTGGGATTATAGGCGTGAGCCAGTCACCTTTTCCCTTTTATTTTATTTTATTAATTTATTTTTATTTTATTTTTGAGACAGAGCCTTGCTCTGTCGCCAGGCTGGAGTGCAGTGGTGTAATCTCGGCTGACTGCAACCTCTGCCTCCCAGGTTCAAGCGATTCTTCTGCCTCAGCCTCCCGAGTAGCTGGGATTACAGGCGCGTGCCACCATGTCCGGCTAATTTTTGTATTTTTAGTAGAGGCGGGGTTTTACCGTGTTGACCAGGATGGTCTTGATCTCTTAACCTCGTGATCCACCTGCCTCGGCCTCCCAAAATGCTAGGATTACAGGCGTGAGCCACCGCACCTGGCCCTAAAAGTAGCCTTCTTTTCCCTTTTAAAGAGTTAGTGTCCATAGCTACTGGATGCCATTTTGGTTCAGGTGGACCGTGAATAGGTTTCACTCATCATGCCCAAAGGTTGCCACTCCTGACAAGTCACAGACAACGCTTGCACCATCATCTTCTTCCTTCAGAGTCTGTGGTCCCCTGGATGTCACTAAGGTCCTGCTTCCTGTACCAATAGGTTTTAAACACTACCCAAGGCAGGCTGGCTTTAAATATCCTACTTAATCTGGCTGACAGGCTCTCCCTGCACCTCTGGTACTCTGCTGCCTCATTAACAGCTCCGGCTACTCAGTTAAGGTTGGCATAGTGTCCATCTCTCCAGGTCAAAGGCCAGCAGCCTCTGCCTTGTACAGGAGTGTTCTCACTCCTGCTACCCACTTCTGTCTCTACTGAAAGGCAGGAGGAGACTGTGGCATCATTGGGATAGTACATTTCATCTAAAAGCCTGGTCACTAGATGTGAGTTGTAGAAACTGCTTCTCTCATCCCTCAACAATTTCACAGTTGTAGGAGCTGACATTAACCTGCCATGCCCCCAACAGCTAGGCGCGGTGGCTCATGCCTGTAATCCCAGAACTTTGGGAGGCCAAGGCAGGTGGATCACCTGAGGTAAGGAGTTCGAGACCAGCCTGGCCAACATGGAGAAACCCCCGTCTCTACTAAAAATATAAAAATTAGGCATAGTGGCACACACCTGTAATCCCAGCTACTCAGGAGGCTGAGGCAGAATTGCTTGAACCCAGGAGGCGGAGGTTGCAGTGAGCTGAGATTGCGCCACTGCACTCCAGCCTGGGTGACAGAGCAAGACTCAGTCTCAAAAAAAAAAAAAACAAAAAAAAAACAAATCCTGCTGTGTCCCCAACAGCCTCACCAATGAGAATTTCCACCTCAACTCCTCCTATTCCTTCCCCCACCTGCCCTCCCCACCTTAATCTCTGGAGAAGGAATATGTTTTGAGATAACTGGGAAAGTCTTGCCCTGTGGTACAATCCATTAAAGGTTCTTTACAAATGACCAGGGAAGCTGTTCTGTTTTTTTGTTTTTGTTTTGTTTTGTGTTTTGTTTCTTAAAGACAAGGTCTTGCTCTGTCACCCAGGGTGGAGTGCAGTGGTGGGTCTATAGTTCACTGAGGCCTCAAACTCCTAGGCTCAAGGGATTCTCCTGCCTCACCCTCCCCAGTAGCTGGAACTACAGGTGTGCGTCACCATGCCTGACTCTGGCTGTGTTTTGTTTTGTTTTGTTTTTGTAGAGACAGTGATCTTGCTATGCTGCCCAGGCTGGTCTCAACCTTATGGGCTCAAGTGATCCTCCCACCTCAGCCTCCCAAAGTGCTAGGATTACCTGCGTGAGCTATAGCGCCCTGCCTGTTCTGGGCTTCTTGCAGAGCCTCTTCAGCTGCAGAGAAGCAGCTCTCCTTTCTCCAAGTCCAGAGCCAACAGGTGAGGGCTGCAGTCAGAATCTCTGGAGCACACAGACCTGGGCTCCAGCCGTCTCACTAATTAGCTGTGGTACTCTGGGTAAGTCACCTTCTCTGAGTTTCAATTTCCTTTTCTGCAAAACAGGACGAATAATGAAGCTGTTGGGAAGATTTACTGATAATACATGTAAAGGGTCTAGCACATTTTAGGAGCTCAAGGTTGGTGCCTTCCCTTTTTCTTTACTCTGAACCGGATATGAGGCCTTGAGAAAGAAGAGAGGCGCTTGCAAAACGAGGTGAGGTCTCAGGCACAGTGGCTCACGCCTGTAATCCCAGCACTTTAGGAGACCGAGGCGGGCGGATCATGAGGTCAGGAGTTCGAGACCAGCCTGGCCAACATGGTGAAAGCCCGTCTCTACTAAAAATACAAAAATTAGACGGGCATGGTGGTGGGCACCTGTAATCCCGGCTACTTGGGAGGTTGAGGGAGGAGAATCGCTTGAACCCAGGAGGTGGAGGTTGCAGTGAGCCGAGACTGCACCATTGCACTCCAGCCTGGGCAATAGAGCGAGACTCCGTCTCAAGCAAGCAAGCAAGCAAACAAACAAAATAAAAAACGAGGTCAAGTTTCAAAAGATGTCACCCCCAACCTGGCAAAACTTCTCCTCAAGCCCTGTCGTTCCACTCTTGTCCGCCAGGAGGAGAAAAGGTTCCCTCGAAGGACGTCTTTGCTTGCGCGTTCACGGAGCCTTGAGAACGAGTGGCCGAGGGGACCCCTGCGGCCCTGCGCGCCTGTGAGTCTCCCGGGCGGGCGGGCGGTGGGGGTGCGAGGCCGGGGGGTGGGTGCGAGGCGTGGGGGAGGTGCGAGGCGGGCGGGGCGGGGGGCGCGAGGCGGGAGGGCGCACGCGCAGAAGGCTGGCTGGGGTGACGCGGCGCCGGGCTTGGGCTTCTGTATTCCGCGTGTCTGGAGGAAGGTCCGGAGGTGGGCGGGAGCCCTGCGGGGATTTCCTCTTCCCCCAGGACTAGCTGTCATCTTCGTTTTTCAGAAGGGAGGACCTGACTCCTTTCAGAATTAGCATTTCTTCCCCTTCGTGGGTGCTCTTGAGTTCCAAAGAAAAGGAAGAGAAGCCTTCATTGAGCAGCTTCTTCTGCCTTAGGGACTGTGCTAGGGGGTAGATCGACCTTAGGGGAAACAATCCCCGCTTATTAGAGGAGGTTTTGGATCAGGGTTTGCTTTATTTGAAATTTAACAAATACAGAAAAGCAGAAGGAAGAAAATTGAAGTAATCCATGTTTCCACTGGGCGCGGCGGCTCACGCCTATAATCCCAGCACTTTGGGAGGCCAAGGCGGGCGGATCACGAGGTCAGGAGTTCGAGACCAGCCTGACCAACATGGTGAAACCCCCCGTCTCTACTAAAATTACAAAATTAGCCGGTCGTGGTGGCACACGCCTGTAATCCCAGCTACTCAGGAGGCTGAGGCAGGAGAATCGCTTGAACCCGGGAGGCAGAGGTTGCAGTGAGCCGAGATTGCACCACTGCACTCCAGCCTGAGCAACAGAGTGAGACTCCGTTGTCTTTAAAGGCCAATCCCATAGCAAATGACAGAGACTCACTTGAGTAAGAAAGGTTTTTGACAAGAAAACCCACAGAAGAAGAGATAAGCTGTGGATATAAGAAAGGCACTACAATCTGTATTTAAATCTAATTGCACACTAGATAATATATGTATGAAAAATTATTTAATCCAGTTTCCTGATTTCATTATATATTTCTTATAAGGTTTTCATTAGGCTTTTGTTTTTGTTTTTGGTTTTAAATAAAAACACTTTATTGCACAAATCCCACAAAGGTCTCAGGCCCTGGGTCCAAGCCCACAGCCCCAACCTGTCCCCTGGCTCTGGGCCTGGTCTTTGGTGCCCACCCTGGCCTCACATGCCAACGTCTTCTGTGGAGTGTGCAGGTGTCCATGAGCGTTCCTGTGTTGGGGGAAGCCTGCCTGGGCCACAAGTAGTCAGGCACTGTGGCAGCCTCACGATGAAGACAGGTGGGGTGGAGTTGGGTCCCCACCTGCCCAGGCTCAGGGGCCACAGGGGTCTACACAGTCCTTTCTGCTTTGAAACACGTGGTAGATGCTGGTGGGAGGGAACATGGCACCGGCACCAAGCAGGGAGCCCACTTGGATGGCCACACCAGCTGCCAGCAATGCCGGCCGACCCCCACCATGCAGCAGGGAGCTTGCAGCCACCTTCACATATGAGAACACACACAGACACAGCACCCACGACAGCACCTGCAAGGGAGGACACAGCAGCAGGCTGAGCATGACATGCACTTGCTCCAGGGGACACCCTCCTCCCCACTTCATGTCTCCACTTGCTCACCACAAGGACCACCCCTGCAGTGGTGCCCACCAGGGGTGGGCAGGGGCTCAGGATTGCCAGTGCCATCAGGTAGGCCCCAAAGAGCATGCCCAGCAGAGAAAGACCAACCAGCCCTGCCAGGGACCTGTTGGGGATGAGCAGAGACTCAGGGCTGGCTGTTCTGGGACCTGGACCCCAACCTTAAGTTCCACCCACCAAGCCTGGGGACCCTTTTGCACCTGCACAGCACGCCCATGGCCAGGAAGCAGGCAAGGGGGTTGGCGGCACTGCCCAGCACCACAGCCAGGTGGTAGGCCAGGCGCCCATAGGGCAAACAGGAAAAGCTCTGCACAGAAGGCAGCACGCCATTGGTCACGGCACTGGTGAAGGCCATCAGGCCCAGCAGGAAGGCACCATGGGCTGAGAACAGCTGATGGGCCTCAGGGTCTGGGCCAGGGATGGTGCCTGCTGCCTGGCTCGGTGGCTCCTGCAATGGCAAAGCCTCTTCTTCCTCCTTCTCTTCCTCCTCTGCTCCTGGGGATCCCAGTTGAAGTTCAGGCCCTGAGCCCCCTGTGGTTACAGAGGGTAGTGATGGCAACAGCAACAGGAGACCCCGGAAGGCGGCAGCTGAAGTGACCAGAAGGGCAGTCAGTGCCCAGAAGAAGGTGCTGGCAGGAAAACGCTCAGGGAAGTCGAGGGGAGGCCCAGAGGTGCCATTGGTGGGCGCTGGTGGGCACTCGAGGCGGCCCACACCTTGCACTAGGGCCAGCACACAGGGGAGTAGGGCACTGAGACCCTGACCCAGGAAGAAAGACCGTAAGAAAGGAGGTGGCAGGTGGCTCAGGAAGGGCAGGAAAGTGACATTAGAGGTACAACAGGCCATTGCCAACACCAAGGCCAGAGTTAGGAAGGCCACAGAGTGGAGCTGCCCTGCCACTGGGGCCACGTGGTGCCACAGAGGGGCCAGCAGGGCTGTGCCCACTACACTCAGCACCTGTACCACCTGGATGGGGACCTGCTCGCCCTTGCCCGGGGCCAGCTGCCTCCACAGGGTCACCACCAGCAGACCCAGGTTTCCCAGCGCCACAACCACAGAGAGGTATGAGGGGAGGCTCCAACCTGCAGGGAAGGAATGATGCCATGTCAGGAGCACAGTGGCTAAGGGACAAAGAGCTGCCACAGGCCACCTTTCTGGGCATACCTGCCCCACGCTTCCCTGTACCTCCCTCCCACTCACCCTCTGGAAGGTCTTTTACCACCACAGGCAGCTCCACCCAGATCCCGTTCACAGCAGCCCAGGAGCCCATGCCAAAAAGGGCCACCAGCAGGTGGGTCAGCACCAGACGGCCCAGCGTGGGTGCTGCCATTCAGCCCAAAGCTGGACCCTCCAGGACAGGGCAAAGGTCACAGGCAGGTCCTTCCCTAGGTAGGTCCAAAGATGCTTTGGTTCTTCTGGAAACTGAAGACCTTCTAGCTGGAGGGAAACAGACAGGCTGGCAGGTAATAGGCTGGTGGGACAGAACCGGAGTCAGAAGACAAGTCGGTCAGACTGCTAAGACCAGGGCAACTGGAGGGAGAGGTGGCCGGGGGCGGGCGGGGAAGGTGGGGAGCCAGGACTTACCACGGGGCACCGGCTGTGCGTTTGGGTACAGCGACCCAGCAGTGCCGGCAGGCAGACAGGCAGAAAGCTGGCCCGAGGTGCAGCTGCCCCAGAGGAGCAAAGAGGGAGCTGATTTTCCTACCCACAGAGGACCCGGGGTCCAAGTTGTCAAAACAGCTCAGCACTGGCCGGGTGCGGTGGCTCACACCTGTAATCCCAGCACTTTGGGAAGCTGAGGAAGGCAGATCGCCTGAGGTCAGGAGATTGAGACCATCCTGGCCAACATGGTGAAAACCCGTCTCTACTAAAAATACAAAAATTAGCTGGTCGTGGTGGTGGGTGCCAGTAATCCCAGCTACTCAGGAGGCTGAGGCAGGAGATTCACTTGAACCCGGAAGGTGGAGGTTGCAGTGAGCCAAGATCACACCACTGCATTCCAGCCTGGGCGACAGAACGAGATTCGGTCTCAAAAACAAAACAAAACAAAACAAAACAAAAAAACAGCTCGGCACCAACACGCTCACCCTCAAATGGACCCCGGGACAAGGGCACGTCTCTGGTGCCACTTGCAACCCTAGCGCTTTTGCGACACTCAGGACTTGCTGAGGCAGGTCGAGTTGGAGAGGGGAGTGGCTGGGGCGGGCTCTGCCCGGAGGGGCGTCTCCGTGCTGCCCTCCCGCCTGCCTCAGGGGGGCATCCCGGGAGCCGCCAGGTGCGCAGGGGTCCCCGCACCTCCGGATCCGGCAGTCCCCGGACCCAGCGGCTGGCGGTCTGCCTGAGAGGGAGCCCCCTCCGCCGGGGAGGCGGCCCAGCCCAGAGCCCACACAGCTGGGGTTTTGTTGTTTGTTGTTTTAATTAATTAATTAATTTTGAGACGGGGTCTCACTCTGTCACCCAGGCTAGAGCGCAGCGGTGCGCGATCGCGGCTCACTACAGCCTCAACCTCCCAAGCTCAAGGGATCCTCCCACTCAGCCTCTCCCCACCCCCCCACAAGTAGCTGGGACCACAGGCGAGCATCACCATGTCCAGCTAATTTTTTTTTTTTTTTTTTTTTTTTTTGGTAGAGACAAGGTCTCACTATGTTGCTCAGGCTGGCTTGGCACTCCTGGGCTCAAGCAATCTTCCTACCTCAGCCTCCCAAGTAGCTGGGACTACAGACGCACCACACCTAGCTACCGCCACGCTCAGCTGTTTTTACACTTTTTTTTTTTTTTTTTTTTTTTGAGACGGAGTTTTGCTCTTGTTGCCCAGGCTGGAGTGCAATGGCACGAGCCTCTGCCTCCCGGGTTCAAGCCATTCTCCTGCCTCAGCCTCCCGAGTAGCTGGAATTACAGGCGCCCACCACCATGCCCTGCTAATTTTTGTCTTTTTAGTGCACAGGGTCTCGCCATGTTAGCTAGGCTGGTCTTGAACTCCTGACCTCAGGTGATCCACCTGCCCCGGCCTCCCAAAGTGTTGGGGATTACAGGCGTGAGCCACCGTGCCTGGCCAGCTGTTTTTACACTTTTAAATGGTTGAAAAAAAATTAGCTGGACGTGGTGTGCACACCTGGCTAATTTTTGCTTTTTTTTTTTTTTTTTTTTTTTTTTGAGACGGAGTCTCGCTCTGTCGCCCAGGCTGGAGTGCAGTGGCGCGATCTCGGCTCACTGCAAGCTCCACCTTCCAGGTTCACGCCATTCTCCTGCCTCAGACTCCCGAGTAGCTGGGATTACAGACGCCTGCCAC